>NC_000014.9:67793531-68096561 GCF_000001405.40 Homo sapiens | reverse complement strand
CTGAATTTTATTCAGCTGTTTGCTATAACATCCATCATTGAAGGCCAGTGATTTAATATCGAAAAGGAGTAGGAGGAAGGAAGAAAGTACCTCTGCAAGAGGTAAAAGCAGCTGAGTTAAGCACATAGCTCTTGGACGGTACGACTTGGCCTGAAACTAAAATGCAGACAATCCAGAAAAATGGATGGAGAATAAGTCATTCACACAATATTCTATAAATACATTTGGAAACAGACTTTTGAGCAACTGGATAGCAGAGAGTTCGAAGTACTCATCTCTAAAAGGAGCCTGAATACAAATTTTCTATGGTGCAGCTTAAAGGTGTCAATATTCAGCAATAGCTGAACCAAAGAGCAGGGTTAAAATCCTCTTCAAAGATTGAGGAGCGTAATGAAGACATCATACTCTATAAAAATATGGATTTTGTAGAATATCCATGAAAAATATAGGATAGTCAAGTATGAAAAAGATGGGCTTTAGAGTTAGACTTGGCTTCACATTCTGGTTCTGCTACTTATTACTCTATGGCCCTCGAAAAATCACTTAACCTTTCTGAGTCTGTTTCTTTTTTTTTTTTTTTTTTTTTTTTTGAGACGGAGTCTCACTCTGTCACCCAGGCTGGAGAGAGGCACGATCTTGGCTCATGCAAGCTCTGCCTCCCTGGTTCACGCCATTCTCCTGCCTCAGCCTCCCGAGTAGCTGGGACTCCAGGCGCCCGCCACCACGCCTGGCTAATTTTTTTGTATTTTTAGTAGAGATGGTGTTTCACCTTGTTAGCCAGGATGGTCTCCATCTCCTGACCTCGTGATCCGCCCACCTCGGGCTCCCAAAGTGCTGGGATTACAGGCATGAGCCACCGTGCCTGGCTGAGTCTGTTTGTTTTATCTAGAATATGCAGGCTGTAATTAGGCGTAAACAAAGTAAATATAAAGTGCTACTATGGTATTGGGTATGTGAATACCAAAATGAATGGGGATGGGGCAGGGCAGATACCAAGGGAACTAATCAGAAAAATAAAAACAAAAAACAGTATACATGAAATTGAAGGGAGGGAAGTACAAAATCCATATCTGGCAAAGAAAGACTTCTTTTTTTTTCATACCCATAAATACCATGGAGGAAGACTTCTTTATATTGTAACACAATTAAGCATGATCCCAAGAGAGCACAACTTCTATTAATCGGAGTGCATCATACTCTTCAAGAGCACTGGTGGGTTGAAAATAAGTTGAGAATACAGTTCTCAACTAAGACTTTTTTTTTTTAACCCTCTTTCAGTTGCAGGTAATTAGTCAGTGTTCAATGTTTGTTATAAATAGGAAAAACCTACACATCAAATGATAAATGCCAATGAAATAACTCATTCATCTAATTTCTAAGTAACCACTCACATATTGCTTCTGTATATCATCAAATTTTTGATATAGCTAAAAGAACTCTTATGATAAATTACTTAATTATAAACCTATGCTTGCCAGGAAAAGAATTTTAATTTCACAAGCAACATAAAAAATAACCCGAGCCTGCTCTCCATATGAACTACTCAGTCTGCCTTGTGGCAGGTGTATACAAGCACTTAAAAAGAAACATCTGCTTTCCTTCTTACAGAGAGCTTCACCTCAGGAAAAAAACATAAATTCCTGTGTATCACAAAATACTTTAAAAGCTAAGAAGGCATGACCAGATGTAGTCATTTAGGAGAATTTTTCTTCCTTATAGGCATCTTACTCATGATTCAGAACAACTGAAATATTTGATTTCTACTTTTCTTCAATTAACTTTTTCCAGCTTTGCTCATCACTAACCTATTAGGAGGTCATCTCTCCTAAATTATATTCACCCTGACTGTGGGGATAATCATACTCCTCAATTCAGGGTATACTATTATTATCAGTCTGTCCAAGGCCTCTGTTGGCTTATTTTATTTTTTTACCCCCTTTATCACTACTCCCCCATTTCCTCCTAAACCTTCATAAGCAAAAACTTAATTGTCTGGCATCTGTCTTTGGATATGGAGTGTTTCTTTGAAAAATATTAAGTGTTGTTTTACATATATGTGTGTGTGTTTTAAATTTTCATAAATGGCAATATGCTATGAATAGCCTTCTTTTATATTTTTCATTAAATACTCTTTCAAAATGAATCCATGATACAGCATGGCCCTCTAGTGCATACCAAACTATCACACTGTATTTGAGAGTGTGAATGTGCTACCTCAAACGATGCTGATATAACCAAAGGTGACCACAAGATGAATCAAGGCCTGAATGTAAATGTGACTAACAGAAAACAAAACGTCAGAAAATAACTCTGTGGCCCTGGGCCCTAAAATTATAAAGTATAAGATTTTAAAAAGTGATATGTTTGACCAACTCAAAATTAAGATCTACATCAACATGAAATCTTAAATCGTCACAACAATAAAAAGCCAAATAACTAACTAGTAATATAAAGAGGTACTCAATTTCATTAGTAATCAGAGAAATGCAACTTAAAATTAAATACCACTTTACACCCATTAGTTTGGAAAAAAGAGAAAGTCTAAACATATAAAATGTTGGCAAAGAAGTAGGGCAGCAGGAGTGTTCTTACACAACTGGTGGGCTGCAGACTGGTGCAGCCATTCCAGGAAGAAATCTGGCAGGATTTAGTGACCATCAGGGTGTGTATGCTTGATGACCCTACAATCCTACCCCTCAGTACATACCCTGGAGAGTACCAGGATGTTCCTCACATCATTGTTTGCAGTAGCAAGGAGGAAGAGACAATCTACTTTTTTGTAAATGCAATATAGAGGCAAGAGCAAACACATTCAAAAGCTAGCAGAAGGCAAGAAATAACTAAGATCGGAGCAGAACTGAAGGAAATAGAGACACAAAACACCCTTCAAAAAATCAATGAATCCAGGAGCTGGTTTTTTGAAAAGATCAACAAAATTGATAGACCGCTAGCAAGACTAATAAAGAAGAAAAAAGAGATGAATCAAATAGACACAATAAAAAATGATAAAGGGGATATCACCACCGATCCCATAGAAATACAAACTAACATCAGAGAATACTATAAACACCTCTATGCAAATAAACTAGAAAATCTAGAAGAAATGGATAAATTCCTGGACACATACACCCTCCCAAAACTAAACCAGGAAGAAGTTGAATCTCTGAATAGTCCAATAACAGGCTCTGAAATTGAGGCAATAATTAATAGCTTACCAACCAAAAAGAGTCCAGGACCAGATGGATTCACAGCCGAATTCTACCAGAGGTACAAGGAGGAACTGGTACCATTCCTTCTGAAACTATTCCTATCAATAGAAAAAGAGGGAATCCTCCCTAACTCATTTTATGAGGCCAGCATCATCCTGATACCAAAGCCTAGCAGAGACACAACAAAAAAAGAGAATTTTAGACCAATATCCTTGATGAACATTGATGCAAAAATCCTCAATAAAATACTGGCAAACCGAATCCAGCAACACATCAAAAAGCTTATCCACCATGATCAAGTGGGCTTCATCCCTGGGATGCAAGGCTGGTTCAACATACGAAAATCAATAAACGTAATCCAGCATATAAACAGAACCAAAGACAAAAACCACATGATTATCTCAATAGATGCAGAAAAAGCCTTTGACAAAATTCAACGACCCTTCATGCTAAAAATTCTCAAGAAATTAGGTATTGATGGGACGTATCTCAAAATAATAAGAGCTATCTATGACAAACCCACAGCCAATATCATACTGAACGGACAAAAACTGGAAGCATTCCCTTTGAAAACTGGCACAAGACAGGGATGCCCTCTCTCACCACTCCTATTCAACATAGTGTTGGAAGTTCTGGTCAGGGCAATCAGGCAGGAAAAGGAAATAAAGGGTATTCAATTAGGAAAAGGGGAAGTCAAATTGTCCCTGTTTGCAGATGACATGATTGTATATCTAGAAAACCCCATCGTCGCAACCCAAAATCTCCTTAAGCTGATAAGCAACTTCAGCAAAGTCTCAGGATACAAAATCAATGTGCAAAAATCACAAGCATTCTTATACACCAATAACGGACAAACAGAGAGCCAAATCATGAGTGAACTCCCATTCACAATTGCTTCAAAGAGAATAAAATACCTAGGAATCGAACTTACAAGGCATGTGAAGGACCTCTTCAAGGAGAACTACAAACCACTGCTCAATGAAATAAAAGAGGATACAAACAAATGGAAGAACATTCCATGCTGATGGATAGGAAGACTCAATATTGTGAAAATGGCCATACTGCCCAAGGTAATTTATACGTTCAATGCCATCCCCATCAAGCTACCAATGACTTTCTTCACAGAATTGGAAAAAACTACTTTACAGTTCATGTGGAACCAAAAAAGAGCCTGCATTGCCAAGTCAATCCTAAGCCAAAAGAACAAAGCTGGAGGCATCATGCTACCTGACTTCAAACTATACTACAAAGCTACAGTAACCAAAACAGCATGGTACTGGTGCCATAACAGAGATATAGACCGATGGAACAGAACAGAGCCCTGAGAAATAATGCCACATATCTACAACTATCTGATCTTTGACAAACCTGACAAAAACAAGCAATGGGGAAAGGATTCCCTATTTAATAAATGGTGCTGGGAAAACTGGCTAGCTATATGTAGAAAGCTGAAACTGGATCCCTTCCTTACACCTTATACAAAAATTAATTCAAGATGGATTAAAGACTTACATGTTAGACCTAAAACCATAAAAACCCTAGAAGAAAACCTAGGCAATACCATTCAGGACACAGACATGGGCAAGGACTTCATGTCTAACACACCAAAAGCAATGGCCACAAAAGCCAAAATTGACAAATGGGATCTAATTAAACTAAAGAGCTTCTGCACAGCAAAAGAAACTACCATCAGAGTGAACAGGCAACCCACAGAATGGGAGACAATTTTTGCAATCTACTCATCTGACAAAGGGCTAATATCCACAATCTACAATGAACTCAAACAAATTTACAAGAAAAAAATAACCCCATCAAAAAGTGGGTGAAGGATATGAACAGACACTTCTCAAAAGAAGACATTTATGGAGCCAAAAAACACATGAAAAAATGCTCATCATCATTGGCCATCAGAGAAATACAAATCAAAACCACAATGAGATACCATCTCACACCAGTTAGTATGGCGATCATTAAAAAGTCAGGAAACAACAGGTGCTGGAGAGGATATGGAGAAAAAGGAACACTTTTACACTGTTGGTGGGACTGTAAACTAGTTCAACCATTGTGGAAGTCAGTGTGGTGGTTCCTCAGGGATCTAGAACTAGAAATACCATTTGACCCAGCCATCCCATTACTGGGTATATACCCAAAGGATTATAAAACATGCTGCTATAAAGACACATGCAAACGTATGTTTATTGCGGCACTATTCACAATAGCAAAGACTTGGGACCAACCCAAATGTCCAACAATGATAGACTGGATTAAGAAAATGTGGCACATATACGCCATGGAATACTATGCAGCCATAAAAAATGATGAGTTCATGTCCTTTGTAGGGACATGGATGAAGCTGGAAACCATCATTCTCAGCAAACTATCACAAGGACAAAAAACCAAACACCGCATGTTCTCACTCATAGGTGGGAATTGAACAATGAGAACACATGGACACAGGAAGGGGAACATCACACTCTGGGGACTGTTGTGGGGTGGGGGGAGGGGGGAGGGATAGCATTGGGAGATATACCTAATGCTAAATGACAAGTTAATGGTTGCAGCACACCAACATGGCACATGTATACATATGTAACAAACCTGCACGTTGTGCACATGTACCCTAAAACTTAAAGTATAATAATAATAATAATAATAAATAAATAAATAAAATAAATAAAATCATACAGACCCAGACTATGAACATTTTTTAAAATAAAGAGTCTACCATATACTTTCTGTAAAAAATTAGGGTATGTTTGCAAACCTGAAGTACAAACCAAAAATAACATCACACATTTGCACCTGTACATTATTTTACTATAGAATCAAAGTGAACTTTTCTTAAATAACTGAATATTCTCTACAAACCAAGGCCCTAAGTCTCATACAGTCTTAAAAGTATTACTTAAATGTCATAGCAATATGTTTTGAAACCTAAAGAAATTTAGAACAATCTGTTAAAAGCTAATCTTAACCTGTTACTGTAACTATGATGTAAAAATGAAGGATAAGAGAGTTGGATTTTCTAAAGTTATGCTGGTCATTCAATACCAAAAGATCCCTATTTTTATTTGCCCTGTTGCTTTAAAATAAGTATAGTAATCTGTTCCCAAGAGCTAAAGCACATCAATGCTGGAAGATTAACGAGATACGATGCTCTGAGTACTCCAAGCTCTTGATATAAAGGTCTGATGGACTCTATGTTCATGTCAGTGTCTCACTTTAGTAGAGTTCACATGCACACACATGGCTCTAGGGTGCCTAGGTTTTAAATAAGAAAATAATTTGGCCACTCTGGAAAACCAGAAAAAATAACTTGAATTTTTAATATGTAACTCAGTTTTTTATAGCACTTCTAGTTTCCGCTTACTTTCCTAAACTTTATATATAAATCTAAAATAATATAATTTAGGGCATAAAAGCTCACATATATAAATCTAAAATAATATAATTTAGGGCATAAAAGCCCACATATATAAATCTAAAATGATATCATTTAGGGCATAAAAGCCCACAAATATCTGCTGCCTACATCTCTTACAAGAAACTACTATCTTGAAGTGTAATTTAAATACAAAAGGTCTTTTGCCAAAGTCTGCGTTTTCACACACACATAAACATTTACCTGACACTGAGGCTACCAAAAGAACCACATTTAGAGGAAGGGGGAAAGGGGATGGTGGGAGGGCATGTGCAAAATGCAAATCTGGCACTTGGCATGGTCTCAATTTGAGAGGCCCAGGCAGATTGGGATGTATGGCTTTGTTCCATCAAAAGGTCGTTTGAAGCACAGTATTTTATTTTTATAGTAGGGTATTGAGTTCTGAGGTCTCTGATACACCCCAGGGAACCAGCAAAAGCTAGTCTCAACCCTGTGCCAGCCCCCTGCTGGGTCACTAATGAAGATGGAGAACTGTGAGTGCACCCATATAAAACACAGGAAAAGGCGAAAAAGGACTCCGAGCTGGGTCCGTTCCTTTTATTCCAGAGGAGCAACCTTTTCTGTACTTAGAGACTAATGAGTCATGAACAGGAGAGGGGAACAAATCACACAGTACATTACCAGGAGGGACAACACCGTCAGCCTTTGTGTTCAGTAGCTGGTTCAGTTTTCAGAGCATTTCCCAGCAAGGACCAAAAGCAACTTGAACAAAGGAAACAGCAGTTAGATACTTGAACTGTCTCCATTAATACTCCAGAGAATTGGGTGCTTCAAAGTTGGAGTGACTAATGAGAGTGGGGAGAGGATATAGGTAAGGGGGCCCAGGAAAAAAAAATAATGATGGCTTTATATTAAAAGTTCATGAAAAGCAGAAAATGATGAGAAATTTTTTTTAAACTTGTTTTTCAGAGTTGTTATTTTGAAAGTTCTGTCCTTTCTAAGGACATGAGCTCTGATCCCTCCACAGACTTTTAAACGGAGAACAGAAATGAAGCATAAGAAGGTATTTCATTTTCCATCCTCACCACTTAATTAGGAAGGGCATTTAAGGTGTTCAAAGTTTTAATTGCCTTCTCCTCTACCCCAACCTCCTTCTTCAGTTACGCCCATACAGCAACTGAGCCAAAGCCAGACAGACATCTGAAGCTTCTCTCATGCAGGAAAAAACACCAGCACAATTACCCCAGACACCATTTATTTCTCTCCCCCACTTCCTTCATCCCCCGCCACTCTTTCCATCTCAATCTCCCCCCCACCTCTCTCTCTCTGTCTCTCTCTCTCTCTCTGTCTCACACACACGCGCACACACACACACACACACGATCCCATAACACTGCTAGTACACAGAAAGCTTTTCTGGCATAATTGATAGCAGCAAATGCTGCAACATGAGAAAGTTTCCAATAATCTGAAAGAAAGGAAGAAGATGAAAAAAGAGGGAGAAAAAAATGAGGAGTTATTAGACGAAAGAAAGAGAGGTTGAAACAGCTAACTCTCTCTATTAAAAAAACAAAAACCTGAGACACATTCATGGAAAATGACAGCGATCCAAATTGGTCACGGTAAAAAAGTAAGTAAGTAAATTTGATTTATTTCCATATACCTTAAAAAGTCTAGAATTTTATCTCTTTTCTCTCTATTTACTATGATAGCATGCAGGTCAATAAAAGACGTTTTAGTAGGGCCAGGACTGTAACAAAACCTTTGTCCTTACAAAAACTTATACCAAAGACATCACCAATAATAGCTCTTAGATTCATGGAGAAATGAGATCCTTGATTTTGATCTGGAATTCTAACAATAAATTCTAACAATAAGTGCTCACTTAGGGCCCTAGAGTAGTAAATAATAGTTATTATTTTTATTTAAATAATTATATAATTATATATAATAATATATTATATAATTATATATAATAATATATTATATAATTATATATAATAATAAATTATATAATTATATATAATAATAAATTATATAATTATATATAATATATTATATAATTATATAAATAATATATTATATAATTATATAAATAATATATTATATAATTATATATATAATAATTATATAATTAAATATTTAAAAATATTATTTTTAAGTCAATAAAATAATTATTTTAAGTCAATAAAAATACTATCAGTTCTTATTTATTTAATATCAACAATGTAATGGTACATATACATGACCTTCAATTCTAACCATGATGCACATTAGGCATTACCAGGTAATGTTACAGAGAGTAAATGACTCTGTAACATCCTCACAGGATGTTCAAGGCCCCATAGCTCAATCACCGATGGAGCCAGATTTTTTTTCTGGTTCCACAGCGAACTTTCTTTCCGTTAAACCACAGAAGAAAGTGAGCTGTTGTCAACCCTTTAACATTTGAACAGAATGGTTTTCTAAGCATAATACTATAATAATCCAGAGTTTTCTACAATCAGTAATCCATCATATAGACCAGTCAATCATGATGAATCATAATGGGAATGATATCTTTGCTAATTAAGGTAGACTGGCTAGAGGTACTTTGACAATGGGAAAAGTCTCCAGAGGGTCTCAGAACACCCTGCTACTCTGATTATTAGACTAGAATTAGGCCCCAAACCCAAACTTAATCCATAGGTTCAGGGTCCAATTCTGGTATATGCCAGCTACCCAAAATAAAGAGCATTATCAAATTAATGGAATCTCTGGGGATCAGTGGACCCTAGGGAATCAGAAATAGTATGGGCTGTCACAGGCATCTCTCTCTCTCTTTTTTTTTTTTTTGAGATGGCGTTTCACTCTTGTTGCCCAGGTTGGAGTGCAATGGTGCAATCTTGGCTCACTGCAACCTCCACCACCTGGGTTCCAGTGGTTCTCCTGCCTCAGCCTCCCGAGTAGCTGAGATTACAGGCATGCACCACCACACCCAGCTAATTTTGTATTTTTAGTAGAGATGAGGTTTCATCATGTTGGTCAGGCTGGTCTCGAACTCCTGACCTCAGGTGATCCACCCACCTTGGCCTCCCAAAGTGCTGGGATGACAGTCATGAGCCACCGCGCCTGGCCCCAGGCATCTTTTAATGCCTGCCATTCTGAACTTTCAGGAAACCCCAGAAGTATTATTCCCTCAAGAAGCCCCCAATATTAGAAATTAATCCTAACAGAATATGCCTTTCTCATCACCAATAACATCCCTTGACTTTGGAGGGTATCCATCCTAAGATTAATTCTCCCTGTGCTTTGGATTCATCCCATCTCAAGTTGCCCCATTTTCTCCACTCTCGTATCAACCTCTATCCTTGACTCCTTATCAGCATTTAAATATACTCAAGCCCACATGCCCTCCCTGCATCCCATACAGAAAGGGGGCAGGGAAGTGATGGGAAGGGGAGCGCGTGGTCCCTGGCGAGGGCTCTACCCCCAGACCTGGGCCCACAGGCCTAGGTGAGTATAGGCACTTCTGCCTTGGTGCCCAAATGTTGTATTTCCCAATACAGCCCTGGCCCATCACGCCCCCCATCCTGTGCCTATAAAAACCCCGAGACCCTAGCAGGCGGACACATGGTGGCTGGACGTTGAGAGGAGCACACGAGCCGAGGAACACACGGGCAGCTGGACAGCGAGAGGAACGCACTAATAGGCACCAGCACACCGGCAAGCCAACAACGCGGAGTTTGGCTGGGGCAGTCGTTGGAGAGCCCCGGCCTCTGGGCGGCCCAACTCCAGGGGAAAAACTTCCCACTCCATTCCCCTTCTGGCTTCCCCCATCTGCTGAGAGCTACCTCCACTCAAAACCTTGCGCTCATTCTCCAAGCCCACGAGTGATTCAATTATTCCATTACACCAAGGCAAGAACTCCAGGATACAGAAAGCCCTCTGTCCTTGAGATAAGGAAGGGAGTCTAACTGAGCTAACAGAAGCCGCCTACAGACGGCAAAACTAAAAGAGCACTCTGTGACACACGCCCACTGGGGCTTCAGCTGTAAACATTCACCCCTAGACGCTGCCATGGGGTCAGAGCCCTACAGCCTGCCCATCTAGCCTCCCCTAGAGGTTTGAGCAGCAGGACACTGAAGAAGCGAGCCACTCCCCACTGTGGCACGCCCTGCAAGGGGGACAAGGGAACTTTTCCCATTTCAATACCACCTTCACATACCATCTTCAGTCTCTTCTTTGTAGCCAGAATGCATGAAAGTATGACCTCCCACCTCCCATGATCCTATCCAATCACCTCCCACTTAACTCTTTAACCAAATTTACTGAACTCCTGAAACTACCAGACTACCAAAAAGGCTTCTAAAAGGCCACTGATGCTTTTTAGTTACAAAATCCAATGGCTTTTTTAATTTAAACAATCTTTTTGTATTTTACTTGAACTCTTAGCTGAATTCAGAACCATAAAACACTCCCTTCTTTTTCAAACTCTCTCTTCCTTTGGCTTCCTTAACTATACACTCCTGATTTTCCTCATACTTCTCCAGTCCCTCCTCTCTTCAGTCCCTTGAAAAAGCTGCTCATAAGGTTGCTATACTAGGCCCTCTTCTCTATGCATTCTCCTTGGATAATGTTATCTACTTCCTTGATTTCAATTAAACTAGCTATATACCCTGAAGAACACCCAATCTATACATCCAGCCTAAATCTCTCTGTGTCTCTAGAAATGCAGACACTGTCTAAAGAACAGGAGGTACAATAAGGAACAAAACAGACACAATCCATTTATTTCCCAAGTTCACTGTCTAACTCTTCCTTGTGGATGTCTCAAAGGCAGCTCCAATTGGAAATGTCAAAAGCTGAAGTCAATTATCTGCTCCTATTCCAAAAGAAAGGACAGTTTTTCCTACTCTAGTCCTCATCTTAATGAAAGCCTGGAAATTATTCTTGACGCCTTCCTTTCTCCAGTTAATCACCAAATCCTAATGTTTTACCTTCTAAATATCTCTGTATAAAATTTCTTATAATTCCACTGTCACTACCAAAACCCAGGCAACCATCATTTCTCACCAATGTTATAGCTAGCAGCTTCTTAACTGGTCTACCATCAGACTTATTATCCACGGATTTTTTTTAACATACTGCCATAAGACACACACAGCAGCGTACAAGTCATCAGTATTGAGGCAGGCATATATATAGCAGGGGTTCAATATATTTTTGTTGAATGAATGAATCAATCAACCAACCAACCAATCCAGACTCCAAGGGTTACCTTTGCTGTTTCTTCAAAAATTTCCCCCAAATTGAGCAGTGGTCTTTGGAAAACAAAATATTACCCCAACATTTATGCCTTTGTTTTGCTCTGCTCCTCATGATTACAAATATTGGGGAAGTGCATCAGACTGATGAAAGCTGTTCAGGATCCATATTTAAACTCCAGTTGTGTAGGACCACCATGTATGTCCACAGCAGTTGTTCTGAACTGGGGACAATTTTGTCCCCCAAGGGAGTGCTGCTACTGGCATCTAGTGGGTAGAAGTCAGAGATGCTGCTAAATATCCTACAATGTACAGAACAGCCCCCAGTGACAAGGAATTATCTAGTACAAAATGTCCATAGTGCCCCAGAGGTCTATAGTTTCAAAAACAAGGCACTACCAAAAGCACTATTTCAAAATGTCACAGGATTAGGATGTTACAACAAGACAATAAACCTGTTAACTTCCTCTGTAAAATGAGATATGACACTTTCCATTTTCTAGGGTAAAAGTTAATGGGTTTCTCAGATTTTAAAAAACAGAGATAAAGTTTAAATAATGCCTTAGTGTTCCAACTTTAGGAATTTAAAAAATATTTACAACAAGTTCTAATAAGATTTATTAATTTCTTTACTGAAGGCTTCATTTTCTGCTCACTCCCAACAAAAATAAACACAATACTAAAATACCCCAACATGCACACACGTACACACTCAATGTCTTATCATTGCTTCTTACAGCTTTGGGAAACAAAAAGATTGTTTCTTTCTCACGTTCCCTCTCTGTCTTTTTCACTCTCTTTATTTAACCAACCATAATGTTGGTTATCGAGTTGTAGAGTAAGTTAATATAGTTCATAATGTAGTTATGGAGTAAGTTTTATTGTCGCTTGTACTTGTTAATGTGTTCCCATTCTCAAGATAAAAAATAAATAAGCAGAACTCTTCATGTTTCTCTCAGAAAACAAAAAAAATGCCAAAAACCTAAATTAATATGATTTACTTGCATGAATGGCAACTTACTTTTTTTCTATCAAGAAATATGAAATATTCTCCATTTTTATCTTTAATAAGTAACCACCAAACCAATGCTAATATATATCAGTTCTAATGGCTTTTTTCTACTAATTTTCTTTCCTAGATATCACGTTTTTAAGTATTGTACAATTTTCTGCACAACATCAGAGTAGGCTAAGAAACCAGCAGTTATGATACAACGAGCGCAAAATTTAGGGGAAAAGAATACTCCAGTGATCGAGTATCAAAACCTCCATTGCTTGCTGTGACAATATTCCTTTTTTGTGCTCCAGGCAATATCATCAAGATTTAGAGTAATCTGACATAAGTCAACAAACCTACTCAATGACTTTGTTGTGTGATTATTGCATCCAGTTACTACCTTCAGAGTTTGTGATCATTAAATGTACCAGCTGTGTCCTAAACGGAATTATCTGATACAGGCTGAAATTATATAGAAAGACCCTAAAATCAAAAAGTAAAACTGCTTTCATAATCTCTACTCCTCTCACTCTAAGATCTTAGGTGGTTCCCATTTTTTTAACCTCACTTTATTAAAAGATACCGTTTTCATGAACGCTATTTGAATCTCACCAAATAAAGTTTGTCTCTTCTAATTGAAACATAGGATATGTCACAATAACTGAAATCACAGGTTAAAAGTTGAAACTCTCTAGTCTGACAGTAAGAGTTGTGATCCAGCATATATGTACAGCATAAGAATTCCAATATATAGGTTTTACCTTAGGAGAGTGTCCTGGGGAAAGAGACTATTATTAGACAGTTCAGCAGTGTGCATATGTACCCAGATGTCTATATGCAAATACCTCAGATGTGTCAGAACACAATAAATACCTCAGTTCTTGGCACTAATATGTAGGCTCAGACTAAATTAGGAAATGAATTGAAAAGTGAAAACTAAGAAAACAACATTAGTCATTGTAATGAAAAGACTGGCAACAACATAAATGTCCATCAGTAAGGACCTAGTTAAAAAAAAATTATAATACAGCTATACAATAGATACCACAAAACCACAAGAAAGAAAAAAGCAGCATTTTATGTACTAACATGGAATGAATTCCAAGACATAGTGTTAAGTGAAATTAAGCAAGGTATAGAACAGCAGGTATGGTAAGCAAGTAACTGTATGAAAGAGGAATGCTTATTTATCCATTCATTCTCACATACATATACATACATACATACATACATAAATACATATATATATATATATCTTTCTCCTATGCATATCAAATATTTATGGAAGGAAATAAAAGAAACTAGTAACTTGAGCTACCTTCAAGGGGGCTAATCAGATGGCTTGCGGAATTGGGAGAAAACAAAACTTCTTCCTACGTACAGCTCTGTAACCTCTGAAATTCTGAACCAGGTGAATGTATTTCCTATTTAAAAATAAATGCAACTGAAATTAAGAAATATTATTTGCGGCCGGGCGCAGTGGCTCACATCTATAATCCCAGCACTTTGGGAGGCCGAGGCAGGCAGATCACGAGGTCAGGAGATCGAGACCATCCTGGCTAACATGGTGAAACCCCATCTCTAATAAAACCACAAAGAATTAGCCAGGTATGGTGGCATGCACTTGTAGTCCCAGCTACTCAGGAGGCTGAGGCAGGAGAATCACTTGAATCCAGAAGGTGGAGGTTGCAGTGAGCCGAGATCGCACCACTGCACTCCAGCCTGGGCAACAGAGCAAGACTCTGTCTCAAAAAAAAGAAAAAGAAAAAGAAAAAAGAAATATTATTTGCCAAAACATCACATAATTGTTAGGAAAAAAAAATAAGTATTTATCACTCTATAACTCAGTAAATTCTGTCAATATGTAGGTCAAAGCGTATTCTTCAACATTCACTGGGGCTTCAGCTGTAAACATTTACCCCTAGACACTGCCGTGGGGTCAGAGCCCCACAGCCTGCCCATCTGTGTTCTCCCCTAGAGGTTTGAGCAGTGGGGCACTGAAGAAGCAAGCCACTCCCCCTTGTCGCATGCCCTGCGACGGGGACAAGGGAACTTTTCCTGTTTCACTATGATTTCCTTCAGAGCTCTCATTCAGTGTCACCACAGCCTCTAAGTAGCCTCCAATAGAATTTTGAAATAACATTCTCCTTCATAATTCAACATGCTTATTATAAATAAATTAGGAAGTACATATAAACACAGAAATGAGTTTTGACATAAGTGGTTCCAAACTTAAATGCCATAAAATAGGACTCCGCCCTCACTCTTCTCCTTTTAAATAATACCTATGTTACTTAATAATGTGATCGAGTGAACCGAACACATGTCCTGTGCCACAGCTGGAGGAAAGCTGAAGAGGCTCCTGTGGGCCAGGACCACAGTCCTACTTGCACATGCGAGGAGGAGGCTCAAGAGGCATTTGAATCTCTGGCCACTTCAGACAGAAAAACAAAAAACAACTCAGTATCAGTTATGGCAACCCAAAACCTATGCTCTCTGGAAGACATTCTATAGTACTCAAATATTACTAAACAATTATATCCTTTAGGCACCTCATTATAGGACAAAATTTCTTTAATTATTTGAGAGCCATATCAAAGTGATAGATGCTTATAATTGTTAGCGCCTAACTTCAAAATCTTCTAGGACAAGCTAATTTCTTCCAGGCCATGCTACAGAACTTTGAGTCTCCAACTAAGTGCTTGCTCTCACTGGACTCCCTACATCAGATCAGGACCAGTTTTCTTCCCCTGCACAACCTTATAAATTGTTAGGCATTACTTTGGCTCTGATCTTCAGTGAAATTCTATCAATGAGTGGTTTGTTTCAGAGTCCCAAGGCCCTCTATTTTTTCTTATGTTGAAATTTAACTGTTAATAGTTTATTTGGAGCTGATGAAGACCCCAGATATTGACTACTAAACTGTTTTTCTTTTTCTCAATCAGTATCAGAGAGGCCAGGCACATACATGTTGAGGATCACGGTAAAACATCTGTTTTTCAGATGAGAAAGTAGACTTTTCAGTTAATGCTCCTGAATAGACCCCTGCACTGATCAAACCCAACTGTTCATCATGGCATTGGTTCATAACTGCTCAACTAGGTTAAAAGAAAAGAAGGCATCTGAGCAGACCAAAGTGAGGCTTTCAGAAAAAGCTTTAACACCTTGGAAACTGATCTGCATTTCAGGCTGGGGACACCTCTCATATTACATGCTTTGATGGTCTGGGGCCTGGGTTTTGATAGACACTCAAAAGCAAATAGAGCTATTCAAACATTAGCCCATATCTGAAGAGTATCTTGGGTACTCAAGTGCACTATGAAATGTGATTAACATGCTTTGATTTTGAAGAATCCCAGAAAAGGAAAAGAATGTAAATAAAAGAATTGAAAACACATATACAATTGGACATTATGGAATCAGAAGTATGGACAGAAAATAAATAAGATTAAGTTGATACATCTGGGGAAGGAAACACTAGCCCATTCATCCTTAAATTCCCCATCAAATAAACAGGAAGCAACTGTTTCCATCCTTATTTTGCAAATGGGAAAATCAAGACATGAAGCAGAAAAGGGAACAGCATGGGAAAAAATGTTACAGGTTTACAAAAGTAATGAGTAAGAACACTAAGGCTAAGTGTCCTGATGTCATACTCCATTTTTCTCATCTTTCTTCATCACAGAAGGCCCTGTTTTGTTCCTATGTCTTCTCCAGGAAATTTGTGAACTATCTGATAACTACCAGGTAATATGTAATTATCATTTTCATGCATACAGAATATAATTTTAGCCAGATGTAAAAGATGGAGGAGAAAGAAGAAAAGACATGACCTTTGACTTCCAGGAGATTTGTATGTTAGAGAGACAGAGCCTGTGAGACCAAGTACAAGAGCGCACATACGCCACCTTAAATCTTTCTTGAAAACAGATGGTGATGAATGAAATTAGTTTTAAAATAGATGGCACATATGTAGTCTAATATCCTATGCAGTGAGAAAAAATATATACTTTAAAAAACTTTTGTCTTTTTGTCTTTAATGTTTTTAATATACTTTAAATATTCAGATAACACTGGATGCAGTAGTAATAAAATAAAAACCAACATAAAGATTTAGATTTCATTTGAAAGGCAGGCTCATTCACATTCTAAAATATTTACCAATACTGCTAGTAATATTATATACTACAACTAATAATAAAGGGAAAAATACCATTATACTGTGGTACCTTCTGCTTTCTCAAATATATCAGAGTTTAAGCAGAAGTAAATGCTAAATACTGTCAAGTAGAGCTTAAGATCTCTGGGGATTGATGTATATTTTTAAAATGCCCCAAAATATTATGCAAATCAATGAAACAATATGTTTCTATGCAGATTTTGACCACAATTAAAACATGATTTGCCAAGACCACATGAAATAAAAAAGAAAAGTGGGTTATAATTTACCTGCAGAAGTTTTGATTGAACATATGACTTAAATGCTCCTTTCCTGAAATCATACCAGCATAGTGGGAAACAATTTAATTAAAATGAACAGTAGACTCTAAAAAAAGAGAATGATTATTTTGGAAAAATAGGCCCCAAGAAATATCCATGGCAAAGTTAGTATGGTTCTAAGGTCAGAGAGATTCCAAAAACAAGAAAGTATGTTAACTCTTTTGTAGCATAAAAATTAGATGGCTATTTAAAACAAATCCAGGGTTTTAAATAGACCAGGATTTATTTATTTATTTAGAGATAGGGTCTTGGCTCTATTGCCCAGGCGGGAGTGCAGTGGTGCCATCATGGCTCACTGAAACCTCAACCTCCCAGGCTCAAGCAATTCCCCCACCACAACCTCCTGAATAGCTGGGACTACAGGCACAAGCTATCACACCCAACTAATTTTTTATTTTTTTGTAGAGACAGGGGCTCCCTCTTTTGCGCAGGCTGGTCTGGAACCCTTGGGCTCAAGCAGTCCTTCCACTTTGGCCTCCCAAAGTGCTGGGACTACGGGCATGAGCCACCGTGTCCAGCCCCAAGTTATAATTAAATATAGGATCTTGATAAAACCAATGACTTATTCAAGTATTAATAGAAATCAAATATCTCTTGCATTATAGCTAAAGTTGGTCTCTCAGGAAACCTCCAAGCAATATGCTAAGTCAGCTACTAATTATCTTTACAGGATATTAACATGGCATTGCACCTAGACAAGCTGCTTCATCTTTATTTGGAAGGAAAAAAAAAAGGTGAAGGGCTTAGAGCCTAACATATATGTCATATTATTTTTACTCTATAATTTTCTGTTCATAAGTCACTCAGCTGGTAGAAAGGACAAGAGCTGAATGTAAACCAGAAATGATACCTTTCAAACACTGCCAAACTAAATGCAGCTTAAACACAGAAACAGGAAACAAAGAAATATTCTTGGCCAGGCACAGTGGTGCATACCTGTAGTCCCAGCTACTTGGGAGGCTGAGGCAAAAGGATGACTTGAGGCCCAGAGTTCAAGAACAGCCAGGACAACATAGCAAGGCCCCACCCTTAAAAAACTTTTTTTTATTTCCTAGCGACTCAATTGAACTATATAAATATCCTTAAGATAATGAAAATAAAGACTATAATTGGATTATATTATTATAATAGTGCATACACTATCTGCATATCATATGCATGTTACATATATGACATGCCTAGAATACTAGGTAGCTCACAGACACTTAAAATGTTTACCTTCCACCTTATGTACATATAAGAACAAGCACACATTTTTTATTTTTTATATTTTTGAGATGGAGTCTGACTGTCACCCAGGATGGAGTGCAGTGGCGCAGTCTTGGCTCACTGCAACCTCCACTTCCCGGGTTCAAGCGATTCGCCTGCCTCAGCCACCCCAGTAGCTGGGATTACAGGCTTGCGCCACGACACCCGGCTAGTTTTTCTACTTTTAGTAGAGACAGGGTTTCACCATGTTGGTCAGGTTGGTCTCAAACTCCTGATCTCAGGTGATCCGCCCACCTTGGCCTCCCAAAGTGCTGGGATTACAGGTATGAGCCACCACTCCTGGCCAAGCACAAATTTTAATGTAACATACTGCTAGCAAATAAGATATTCAACTCATATTTTTGTTTGTTTGGGGAGAACGGATTGGGGTTTTGTTCTCGGAGTATGAGCTTGTGATGGTCTTTTAGGCTTGGTCTACACAAACATTAAATGTGTGTATGCTTAGAAAAGGCAAACATCTTTAATACTCAACTTGAAACTTTTTCAAAAGTTAATAAGGCACCTTTCTACATAATCAGAAAGCTAGCCCTTCCAAAGTAAAACCTAAGCAGGATGATTTATTAAATAATGACCAGTCTACTGGACAGAGTGCTTGTAAATACCCTGGGGCAGGGACAATATCTTGTATTCTACATTCTGGCAATCATCCAGCATGGTGCCTTACACATAGTAGCCATATGATAAATACTGGTTGTGTGAAATTGACAACAAACAGTCTAAATCATAGTCTTCTACCATTAACATTTTTGGAAATCTAATAAATATCTTATGAGATATCTAGCCCATGACTTACTTCATCTCTCCACTTAGAGCAGCAACTGACCACCATCCAGAGAAAAAAGCCCATCCCTACCACCATTTTAACCCTGTTGCTGTTATATGACCCTTACTCCTTTGGCTACAGATGATTGAATCAAGGGTAGACTTATAACTTAAACTAAATAAATTAGAGTATCTCATTTGAGAATTTGAATTTAAAGGCACATAGACTGTCAACTGGAAGCTAAACATCTCAGTGGTAGAGCATTAAAAGAAAGGCTCAGCTGAGTTTCTCAGAACCATACTGGTCCCTCCTTTTTTAAGGCCTATCTATATAATATTTCCTTGAATTCTGAGATGTATCATTTCTTATATTCTTAAATGAAAATTACACTTTTGGGTAATAAATAGAAATGAACTAAAGCTTTAAGCAAGAAATTGTGGCGAGTCATTTCTCTTTACAGCTGTTTCAATACATGTAAAATATCATACATATTCTTCAAGTAAGAAAGGTCCTTGGGTGTGTTAGTTCAAACAACTCCCAATCAGGAATTTCTTTGACAACCTCCCTAAGTGACTCACACTGATTACTATTTGAACAGAAGAAGCCAGTTCTAATTTCTTGGTCCTTTTTTAGATAGATCTAAAAATCCACCTTCCTGTAACTTTGATCCACTGGTCCTACTTCTATCTTCTACAGAAATTTAAATAAGTTTCTTTTACTTTCCATGTGTTAATCTTTTAGCCTTTTGAAGGAGGTATCCTATCACCTTCTTATATTCACTCTTTTCCCAATTAAACTTTCTAAGCTCACTCATTCTTACCTGTTCTTGAAAAATTAACTTGATAAGGTATATATTAAGATAATTGATTTCTGCACATGGTTACTGAGATGTGATTACTAAAGAAAGCTCTACTTATAGCTCCTCCATCTGTGAAGACAAGGCATTGAAAAAGTTTCTCTAGGCCAACAGAATATTTCTGGATGGAGAGGTAAAATCATCCCAGTTAGGAAACTGACACATAGAAGCCCAATTCCAAACAAGCAATAGTAAAGCTTGATACTCTCCTCAGTATTTCCTTTCCTAACCCCAGGTCCATCCAGTGTGTCATGGAGCCATGATTTCCCCATGAAATGATTTTCATTAGTCTGTAGAAAGTACCCCTAAACCCTGCCCATGTTACTCCTCAGTGGGCAGGGCCTCTCGGCCTGGCCTGAACAATTCGGTCAGTAGCAACTCTGCATCTCTCAGGAGAGGACATCCCAGAGACAACTGACAGCCCCCCTGCCATTGCAGCTGCAGCAGGACTGCCCTTATTGCTCTAGGCTGGGGAAGGAACAAAGGGCTTTGCCTGTTTGCTTTGCCGGCAGACCACAGCCTCCATACAGAGAGGAGCCCAGTCTCCCTTCCCTGTGAGCCCTCACCCCCTCCTCTTTACCAGGCAGCGCCCCTGGCTCAGACCCACAAAGCAGCTATCCCACCCCCTGGCTGAAAATTCCCACTGGCAATGGCTCTGTATTTCCCAGGGGTGCAGCTCCCAAAGGCAGCTGCCAGCCCCTCTGTCACTGCCACTGCAGTGGTACTGCCCTTACTGCTCTCAGACTGAGGAAGGAACAAAGACATGAGTGCTTGACTTGTGCCTCCAGCACACCGCAGCCACCATGTGGAGGGGAGCCCAGTCTCTCTTCCTTGTCAGCCTCCACCTCCCTAGTCTTCACCAGGCAGAGCCCTTGGCTTGGTTCTGCAGCATAGGCATCCCAACCCCAGCTGAACATTCCCACTGGCAACAGCTCTGTTTTTCTGGGGTGGAGCTCCCAGAGGCAACTGAAAGCCCCTCTGCCAGTACCACTGCAGTGGTACTACCCTTGCTGCCCTCGGACTGGGAAAGAAATAAAGACCCTGAGTACTTTACTCATACCTCCAGTATGCCACAGCCACCCTACAAGGAAGAGGCCTGTCTTTCTTCCCTGTGAATCTCTCACTCCCCTCTGTTTGTCACCAGGCAAGCCTTCCTGGCTTGGGCCTACAAGGCACCCACCCCACCCCAGGTTGATTGTTCTGATTGTCAGGCAGCTTTGTGTTTCTCTGGGGTGGAGCCTCAAGAAACAAGTGAAAGGCTCTCTGCCATCGCCACTGCCAAGGTTCCAAGCTTGGGAGGGAGCACAAAGCCTGAGCTCCATCCAGGGCTACAGTATATAGCACAACACTGCCAAACAGATCTGCAGCCAGCACTCAAGTGTGAGAGGAGCTGACATTCTCAGACCACTGAAAGGGAGCACAGCTGCACATGCAAGGAAATGCAGAGGAGCCACATGGCTGAGCAAGAACCTACCTACAGGCCATTATGTTTAAGCACCATCTACTGGATCATAGCCCAAACATCAACACCAAAAATACTTTGCTAATATACGCTTCTGGGGAACCAAGGACAAGAATTCAGGCACAAATACAGACTCTGCACAAAGCCTCGGCCCTCTAAAAACATCCAGAAATGAAGTCAACTGACTACACTCAAATTACATCGCAGTTAAAGGAACATCAGCCCACACATATGAGAAAGAACCAACGCAAGAACTCTGACAATTCTAAAAGCCAGAGTGTCTCCCTTACCTCCAAATGACTACAACATCTCCCCAGCAATGGTTCCTAACCAGAAGGAAGTGGCCGAAATGACAGACGTAGAATTCAGAATCTGGATGGCAATGAAATTAATCAAGATTCAACAGAAAATTGAAACCTATTCCAATGAATCTGACGAATCCAATCAAATGATTCAAGAGAATAAAAGACAAAACACTCAATTTAAGAAAGAAACAAACTGAGATGATAAAGCTGAAAAACTCACTACAAGATTTTCATAACACAAAGGGAAGTATTAACAGCAGAATAGACAAGGCTGAGAAAAGAATCTCAGAGCTCAAAGACTAGTTCTTCAAATTAACTCAGACAAAAATAAAGAAAAAAGAATTTTAAAAAACTGAACAAAGTCTCTGTGAAATATGGAATTATGTAAAGAGACCAAATCAACAACTTATTGGCATCCCTGAAAGAGAGAAAGAGAGAGCAAGCAACTTGAAAAACATATTTGAGAATATTGTCAACAAAAATTTTCCCAACCTCACTAGAGAGGTTGACATACAAATTCAGAAAATTCAAAGAACTGCCGTGAGCTACTATACAACATGACCATCCCCAAAGCACCCAGTCGTCAAATCCTCCAACATCAATGTGAGAGAAAAAATATTAAAGGCACCTAGAGAGAAGGGTCAGGTCACTTACAAAGGGAACCACATCAGGCTAACAGTAGACTTTTCAGCAGAAACCCTACAAGCCAGAAGAGTATGGAGGCCTATATTCAGCATCCTTAAGGAAAATAAATTGAAACCAAGAATTTCATATCCAGCCAAACTAGCTTCAGGAGAAATAAGACCCTTTTCAGGCAAGCAAATGCTAAGATAATTTATTACCTATTATCTAGTGATGTGCCTTACAAGAAGTCCTTGCATCTTTAAGGGAGTACTACAGAAATGAAGGACAATTACTGACCACTACAAAAATATACTCAAATACAAAGACCATCGACAGTATAAAGCAAATACACAAACAAGTCTACATAACAACCAGCCAACAACATGATGACAGGATCAAATCTGCACATATCAATATTAACCATGAAGAAAAACAGGTTAAGCATCCCACCTAAAAGGCACAAAGTGGCAAGTTGAATAAATAAGCAAGACCTAACGCTATAATGTCTTCAACAGACCCATCTCACATACAGTGGGAAAGTAAAGGCTCAGAGTAAAGGGATGGAGAAAGATCCAACAAGCAAACATAAAATAAAAAAGAGCAGGGGTTGCTATTCTTATTTCAGACAAAACTGACTTTAAACCAACAATGATCAAAAAGGACAAAGAAGGGAATTACATAATCATAAAGGGTTCAAATCAACAAGAAGTCTTAACAATCCTAAATATATATGCACCCAACACTGGAGCACCTAGATTCATAACATGAATTCCTAGAGACTTACGAAAAGACATAGATAACCACATGATAATAGTGGGAAACTTCCAACACCCCACTGACAGTATCGGACAAACCATCGAGGCAGAATATTGGAGACTTAAACTTGACAGTTGACCAAATACACTAAACATACATCTAAAGAACACTGCACCCAACAAAAACAGCATATACATCCTTCTGATCTGCACATGGCACATACTGTAAAATTGACCACACACTAGAACACAAAGCAATTCTCAACAAATTTTTAAAAACCGAAATTATACCAACCACATTCTCAGACCACAGCACAATAAAAACAGAAACCAATACCAAGAAAATCTCTCAGAACCATACAATTAAATGGAAATTAAACAATCTGCTCCTGAATGAATTAAGGGTAAACAATGAAATTAAGGCAGGAATCAAGAAATTATTTGAAACTAATGAAAACAAGATACAACATAGCAGATTCTCTGGGACAGAGCTAAAGCAGTATTAAGAGGAAAGTTTATAGTACCTGTGATGGTTAATACTGAGTGTCAACTTGATTGGATTGAAGGATGCAATATTGATCCTGGATGTGTCTGTGAGGGTGTTGTCAAAGGAGATTAACATCTGAGTCAGAGGGCTGGGGAAGGCAGACCCACTCTTAATCGCATGGGCACCATTTAATCAGCTGCCAGCGAATGTAAAGCAGAAAACATGAAGTGACGAGATGAGCCTAGCCTCCCAGTCTACATCTTTCTCCCATGCTGGATGCTTCCTGCCCTCAAACAGTGGACTTCAAGTTCTTCAGTTTTGGGACTTGGACTCACTCTCCTTGCTCCTCAGCTTGCAGACAGCCTATTGCGGGACCTTGTGATAATGTAAGTTAATACTTAATAAACTCCTATATATATATAATGCTTAATAAACTCCTATATATACAGTTTATTAAGCATTATATATATAGGAGTTTATTTTATATATATATATAAAACCTAGAAAACCTAGAAACCTAGAAAATATATATATAAAACCTAGAAAAAAATATATATAAAATATATATATAATTATATATATATTTTATATATTTTTTATATTTTATATATTATATATTTATATATATTTATATATTTATATAAATATATATAATTATATATATATATAAAATCTAGAAAACCTAGAAGAAATGGGTAAATTCCTGGAAACATACAACATCCCAAGATTGAAGCAGAAAGAAATTGAATCCCTGAACAGATCAATAATGAGTTCCAAAATTGAATCGGTAATACAAAAACTATCAACCAGAAAAAGCCCTGGACCAGGTAGATTCACAGCAGAATCCTACCAGATGAAGAAGAGTTCTACCTATCCTATTAAACCTATCCAGAAAACTGGGGAGAAGAGACTCCTCCCTTACTCATTCTATGAAGCCAGCATCATCCTAATACCAATACCTGGAAGAGATGAAATGAAAAAAGAAATCTTCAGGCCAATATTCCTGATGAACATAGATGTAAAAAATCCTCAACAAAATACTAGTAAACTCAATCCAGCAGCACATCCCTCAAAAAGCTAATCCATCACAATCAAGTAGGCTTTATTCCTGGGATGCAAGGTTGGTTTAACATACACAAATCAATAAATGTGATTAATCATATAAAGAGAACTAAAAGCAAAAGCCACGTGATTATCTCAATAGCCGCAAGAAAGGCTTTATATAAAACTCAACATCCTTTTGTGCTAAAAACAAACTAGGCATCAAAGGTATATACTTCAAAATAAGAAGCACCATTTACAACAAATCCACATCCAACATCATATGAAGGGGCAAAAACTAGAAGCATTCCCCCTGAGAACCAGAACAAGACAAGGATGCTCACTCTCACTGCTCCTATTCAGTACACTACAGGGAGTCCTAGTTAAAGCAATTAGGCAAGATACAGAAATAAAAGGCATCCACATAGGAAGAAAGGAAGTCAAACTATCTCTCTTCATAGACAATATGATACTATACCTGGGAAACTCCAGTCTCTGCCCAAAGGCTCCTAGATCTGATAAATAACTTCGGCAAAGTTTCAGCATACAAAATCAATGTCATTTCCATACATCAACAATATCCAAGCTGAGAGCCAAATCAAGAAAGCAATCCCATTCACAACAGCCACAAAAAAACCAAAATACTTAGGAATACACCTAATCATGGAGGTGAAAGATCTCTCAACAAGAATTACACAACACTGCTAAGAGAAATCAGAGATGACACAAACAAATGGAAAAACATTCCATCCTCATTGATAAGAAGAATCAATATTGTTAAAATGGCCATATTGCCAAAAGCAATACACAGATTCAATGCTGTTCCTATCAAACTACCAATGACATGTTTCACATAATTAGAAAAAAAAAAAAGCACTAAAATTCAATTGGAACCAAAAAAGAGCCTGAATAGCCAAAGCAATCCTAAGCAAAAAGAACAAAGCTGGAGGCATCACACTACCTGACTTCAAACTATACTACAAGGCTACAGTAACTAAAACAGCATGGTACTGTTACAAAAACAGACACACAGGCAAATGGAACATGTTAGAGAATCCAGAAATAAATCCACACACCTACAACTAGCTGATCTTCAACAGAGTCAATAAAAACAAGCAATGGGGAAAGGACTCCCTATTCAATAAATGTTTTGGGGATAACTGGCTAGCCATATGCAAATGATTGAAACTGGATCCTTACCTTCACTGTGTACCAAAATCAACTCAAGATGGATTAAAGACTTAAATGTAAAACCTAAAAGTATAAAGACCCTAAAAGAAAATCTAGGAAATACCATTCTGGATATCAGCCCATGCAAAGACTTCAAGACAAAGACTCCAAAAGCAGCTGCAACAAAAACAAAAATCGACAAGTAAGACCTAATTAAACTAAAGAGCTTCTGAATGGCAAGAAACTGTAAACAGAGTAAACAGACACCCTATAGAATGGGAGAAAATATTTGCAAACTATGCATCCAACCAAGGTCTAATATCCAGAATATATAAGAAACTCAAATCAACAAGCCAAAAATGAGAAACTTCATTAAAAAACGGGCAAAGTACATGAACAGACACTTCTCAAAAAACATACACATGGCCAACAAGCACATGAAAAAAATGCTCAATAACACTAACCATTAGGGAAATGCAAATCAAAACCACAGTGAAATACCATTTCACATCAGTCAGATTGGCCATTATTAAAAACTCAAAAAATAACATGCTGGTGAGGTTACAGAGGAAAGGGAATGCTTGTACACTGCTGGTGAGAATGTAAATTAGTTCAGCCACTGTAGAAAGTTTGGAGACTTCTCAAAGAATTTAACATAGAATTACCTTTTGACCCAGCAATCCCATTACTGGTATATACCCAAAGAAATGTATTAATAAATCATTCTACCATAAAGACACATGCATGCATATGTTCATCACAGCACTATTCACAATAGCAAAGACATGGAATCAACCCAGATGCACAGCAATGGTAGATTAGACAAAGAAAATGTGGTACATACATACCATGGAATACTATGCAGCTATTAAAAAAGTGAGATCATGTCATTTTGCAGGAACATGGATGGAGCTGGTGGTCATAATCCTAAGATATAATGCAGAAAAACAGTATTTGGTTCTGCATGTTCTCACTTATAAGTGGGGGCTAAATATTCAGTACACATGGACTCAAAAACGGGAACAACAGACACTGGGACCTACTTAAGGGTGGAGAGTGGGAGGATGGTGAGGATTTTAAAAACTACTTAATTGGGTATTATGCTGATTACTCAGGTGACACAATTATTTGTACACAAAACCCCTGTGACACACACACAATTTACCCATGTAACAAACCTGCACATGTATATCTGGAACCTAAAATAAAAGTTGGAAAGGAAAAAAACCAACAACAAAAACCAAAGCACCTCTAAATATACAGAGGCCTTTATTCCTTGCTCCAATTTATAAACCATAGCTCTGATCAAGGCATAGCAGGTCATACCCCTGCTCAGTAGCCTAAAAAGAAAGAGCAATTCTCATCAATGTCTGGCATCAACCTACCTTTGGCATAAAAACGAACAAAAAGGAGTATTCAACTTTAGAAGAATACTAAAGCAACTTTAGAATGGTAGTGTAAGAATCTTAGAAAATCTGCTGTTTCCTAAAAGCAACAAGAACACCAGCAAAATTGTCAGAATCAATTCTTCTGGAGCTCTGGAAATTAACCAAAGACTTGCAATAATCGAGAAGTGTTTATTCAAGAAAAATGAGTGAATCTTGCTAAGAATAGAGAGCTCTATGGCATTTTAATTTTCTCTATTCCCATCTTCCATTCTCCAACTCCAAGGTACACTAGAAAACCAAGTCATGTAACCATGGAAGATATACAATAATAAGTATTGGTGTGTATGTGGAGGAATCGGAATCTTCATGCATTGCTGGTGAGGATATAAAATGTTACCACTACTCTGGAAACCAATTTAACAGTTCCTCAAAAATTTAAACAAAAAATTAACATATGACCTAGGAAGTAAACACCCAGCTATACACCCAAGAGAATTGAAAACATGTCCATATAAAACTTTTAAACAAATATCCAGAGCAGCATTATTCATAACAGCCAAAAAGTTGAAACACCCCAAATTTCTATCAATTGATGAAAAGGGAAACAAATGGATGTGGTATATCCATATTGTGGAATATTATTTGGCAGTGAAGTCATAAAAATAAAGTGCTGATAAATACTAAAACATGAGTGAACATTCTACAAAGAGAAAAGAGGCTAGTCACAAAAGGCCACATTTTGTATGATAGAGTTCTATGAAATGTCAAGAATAGGCAAATCCACAGGGAAAGAAAATGGATGTGGTTGCCAGGGGTGAGAGAGAAGAAGAAATGCAGAGTGACTATTAATGGTACAGAGTTCTTTTTAAAGTGATGAAGATATTCTACAATTAGGTATTGGTGATGGTTGCACAACTCTTTAAATATACTAAAAAACCACTAAATTGTACATTGAAAGTATTATTTAAAAGCTGGTTTTAAAAAAAGTTTTCATTGATCTAAAAATTGCTCCCATACCTTGTCACCTTTGTTTCTCTGCTCATATCTTTCCTCTACCTGAAATGCACATCCTTTTCATGAAAAACTGTTGAAATCAGACCCATTCTCTAAGAGCCCATTCAAATACCACTATTTCCATAGTGTCCTTCTTTTTTTTTTTTTTTTTTTTTTTTTTTTGAGATGGAGTCTCGCTCTGTCAGACAGACTGCAGTGCAGTGGCATGATCATGACTCACCGCAACCTCTGCCTCCTGGGTTCGAGGGATTCTCCTGCCTCAGCCTCCCTAGTAGCTAGGACTGTAGGTGCATACCACCAAGCCTGGCTAATTTTTTTGTATTTTTTGTAAAGATGGGG
Source organism: Homo sapiens (assembly GCF_000001405.40). Taxonomy (NCBI): domain Eukaryota; kingdom Metazoa; phylum Chordata; class Mammalia; order Primates; family Hominidae; genus Homo; species Homo sapiens. Next base: position 68,067,754 of record NC_000014.9, on the reverse strand, counting down.
TCTTGCTGTGTTGCCCATGACGGTCTCAAACTCTTGGCCTCAAGCAATCCTTGGCCACCCAAATATGTCACTTTAAATACGTTAACTTTATTAGTTCTTTGTGAATACCTTTTATCTTCCATACTGAATAGTACGAACCTTGAGAACAAGGATCATGCCTTCTTTGTGCATAATCAAATGTGACTTCAAAATTCTCTAGTATCAGTGTGCTTTTCAATACTTTTCCTTTAATTAAAACATGATGTATTTCTTTTTCTTTTCCTGTTTTTTTTTTTTTGTTTTTTTTTTTCCGAGATGGAGTCTTGCTCTGTTGCCCAGGTTGGAGTGCAGTGGCACAATCTCGGCTCACTGCAACCTCCACCTCTTGGGTTCAAGCAATTCTGCTGCCTCAGCCTCCTAAGTAGCTGGGATTACAGGCGCCTGCCACCACGCCTGGCTAATTTTTATATTTTTAGTAGAAAATGGGGTTTCACCATGTTGGCCAGGCTGCTCTCAAACTCCTGACCTCAGGTGATCTGCCCACCTCGGCCTCCCAAAGTGCTGGGATTACAGGCATGAGCCACCATGACCAGCCAAAACATTATGTATTTCTTTCCAGAAAAATGGAAAAGTAAAAATGTTTTTACTTTTTTCCCACTTCATTCCATAAGTGAGCAGTACTTTTCTCTGCACCTACAAGGTACTCTTACAAAGTTTGCTGAATGAGTTTGCCCTTCCATATGAATAAACAAAATATACTAAATCAACGTTGTGCAACAGTCTAATGCTCTTTCCATTTTTTCCCATTTTGTTTCCTTTTAGCATCATTCAATGTGCTGCTAGAAAAAAATTAACTCCCTGAAATTTTGAATGTCATTTCACATCAAATATGACCTCAAAATGCTCGAGTATCAGCCTGCTTTTAAATTCTTTTCCTTTAATTAAGATATATTTCTTTCCAGAAAAATTGAAAAGCAGAAAAATTTTTTAAATTTTATATTTTTATTGTTTTATATTTTAGAGATAAGGTCTCATTGCATTGCCCAGGCTAGACTCAAACTCCTGGGCACAAGAAATCCTCCTGCCTCACTCTCCCAAGTAGTTGAGACTATAGGTGTATACCAGCATGCCCAGCTTTATAAATGTTTTTATCATATTACAGAACCAGAAGAAAGACTAATATGTTTCTGTATTCCCTTCTATACTTTTGTCAATGCATTATTAATACTTTCGTAGATTTCTCCCTTTATTATGTTTCCTCATGCCATTACAAATTTTCTTGCAAACATGATATCCTTTCCTATAAATGAACCATCTTCTCCCTAATTCTAACAATGTTAGTTTAAAAATAGGATGCATTAGCTTTTCTTATTATGAAAATTGTACATGGACTTTAGAGGAAAAAAATTTTAAAACAGAAAATAGAAATGAAAACTAAATCAGAATCTTTTTTTTAAATTTTACCAAATCCCCCATTACACTCAAACACACTCTTTCAAATTTTCTCTCTTCTCTCTCAAATATATGAAATCATGTTCTTTACAGTTTTATTATCCTGCCTTATTTAATTACTATTACAACGTAAGTGTTTTCCAACATCATTAAAATGTTTTGTAAATAATTTAATGACTTCATAAGACTATACTGTATAAATATAAAATAATATTTAATCACTGTTGAATATTTGGGTTGTTTTAGATTATTAATCATAAATAATGCAATAAATATATTTGCAGATAAATATTTATATACATATAATTATTCCCTCAAGACATATTTTCTAATCAAATAATTATGAAGTAAAAGAAGATATATGAGACAATGTAAAGCTTCTGATATTATAACACCAAATTACATTCCAGTAAAGTTGTATCATTTTATATTCCCAACCAGAAGTATATGAGAGTTCCCATATCATATATAGTATTAGGCATTATGTCTAAACATAACCAAAACACAAAACCTAAATTTTAAGTGTGTACCAAGCTGAGATGATACAGCTTCCAAACTCCTGAAAACAAGCTGCCCAGGGTGCTCCATATTCCCCATCCCAAGGGTTGCAGCACCTCAATCCCAGCCACTCAAAACCTAAATCCACAAGAACACCTTTGGTCCAAGTGCCCTGCCCACAGGGGACTGGCATCCAAGCAGAACCACCAGCCAGCTAGCTCCCTGCTTTCCTGGAGTGCGGACCACCCTGGTATCCCACCCCTAGGCGAGCAGCATCCAAGCCATTCCGATGGCCAATCAGCCCTGCACTCCCTTGGAGAATGGACTAGCCTGACACCTCACCCCTAGGGAAGCAGTGCCCAAGCCAAGAGGTAGGCCAACCATTTCCATGTTTTCCCTGAGCACAGACCAGGCCAGCACATGGCCCCAGGGGAGTAGCACCTGAGCCAAGCTGTCAGCTGACCAGCCCCACACTTCCCTGGAGCATTAACCAACCAAGTGCCCCACTCTCAAGGGAGGAGACCCTGAGTAGGTAGGCCAGCCTCACACAACTCTGCAGCTTAAGCCACTGAGACACTTGCAGGCATTTGCCAACACTGACTACAGCTGAAGAAACTGCATGGAGACTACACTATGCTACCCCTTCAAAACAAAGCAACATACCCCACCCAACTGAGACCCTAAAACACATCTGCAGGTGAAAGTCTTCCCCAACGAAAGCCCCTCTACAAAATTGGAATAGGCAACTGTTCCACCAGATGCACAGATATCAACACAGGGATCCAAGATGAAAAGCAATGAAACATGACACCACCAATGAGACACAATTCCCCAGTAATTTACCCACCAAAATGAAAATTTATAAATTGCCAAAAAAGGAAATCAAAGCAAAAATCTTAAACTCAGCAAGATACAAAATAATACAAATAGACAATTCGATAAAATAGAAGAAAATCATTATCTCAATGAGAAATTCAATGCAGGGATAGACATAATAAAAAGAGAACCAAACAGAAAACTTGGAGCTGAAGAATTCAGTGGATGAAATAAAAATAGAACAGAAAAATCTCAATAACAGATTAGATAAAGCAGAAAAAAGAATCCCTGACTTTCAAAACAAGTTTTTGAAATAACTCAGACAAAAGAATAAAAGAGAAAAAACAGGAAGAAAAGAAAAGGAAATAAAAAAGAACAAAGAAAGCCTACAAGACTTTGGGACACCATTAAGTGAACAAATATTAATACTATGAGAATCCCAGAAAAAGAAAACAAGGAAAAAGGCCTATAAAAACTATTTAATAAAATAATAGCTGAGAACTACCCAAGTCTTGGGAGAGATATAGACATCTAAATCCAGGAAGCTCAAAAATCTAGAAAATTTCAAACCAATAAGGTCCTCTCCGAGGCACATTATAGTCAAACTGTCAAAAGTCAAAGACAAAGAAAGAATTGTAAAACAGCATAGGAAAAGCATCAGGTCACATATTAGGGAATCCCCATTAGACTAAGAAGAGACTCCTCAGTAGAAACCTTCAGGCCAAGAGAGAATAAAATCACATGTTCACAGCACTGAAAGAAAAAAATTGCTAGCCATGAATACTATACCGATCAAAGCTATTCTATAGAAATAAGGAAGAAATAAAGTCTTTCCTAAGAAAGCAAACACTGAGAGAATTCATCACCACTAGGCTGGCATTACAAGAAATGATTAAGGGAGTCCTACATCTGTAAGCAAAAGAATGATAACTACCATCATGAAAACATGGGGAAGCATAAAACACTGACAGTGCAGATACACAAATGAGAAAAGAAAAGGAATCAAAACATATCACTTCAAAAAACCACCAAACTGCAAGATAAACAATTAAGAAAAAGGAAAAAGACAAAAAGGACATATAAAACAGCAGAAAACAAATAACAAAATAACAAGAGTAAGTTCTCACCTGTAAATAATAACCTTGAATGTAAAAGGATTAAATTCCCCATCTAAAAGATATGAACTGGTGGAATGTATAATAAAACAAGATCCGACTATATGCTTCCTACAAGAGGAGGTGCCTGACACCTTTTTATTTATTTATTTATCTTTTTGAGATGGAGTCTCATTCTGTCGCCAGGCTGGAGTGCTGTGGCACAATCTTGGCTCACTGCAACCTCCGCCTCCTGGGTTCAAGTGATTCTCCTGCCTCAGCCTCCTGAGTAGCTGGGACCACAGGCGTGTATCACCACACCCAGCTAATTTTTGTATTTTTAGTAGAGACAGGGTTTCACCATGTTGGCCAGGATGGTCTCAATCTCTTGACCTCATGATTTCCGCCCGCTTCGGCCTCCCAAAGTGCTGGGATTACAGGTGTGAGCCACTGCGCCCAGCCCCCATACACTTTTAAATGACCAGATCTCCCAAAAATTCACTCACTGTCATGAGAACACCAACAAAGTGATGAAACTAAACCATTCATGAGAAATTCACCCCCATTATCCAATCACCTTCCAGTGGGCCCCACCTCCAACACTGGGGATTACAATTCAACATGAGATTTGGCCAAGAATAAATATGTAAATCATATTAGAAAGAAATAATAAAGATTAGAGCAAAAATAAACAAAATAGAGACTTAAAAAACCAAAAGACCAAGATGGAAAGTTGCATTTTCAAAAAGATAAACAAAATCAACAAACCATTTAGCTAGCCAAAAAAGAGAGAAAGAAAACCCCCCAAAATAAAATAAAAAATGGAGACATTACAACTAATACAGAAGAAATGTAAATGATTATTAGAGACAATCATGAACAACTACATACTAACAAATTAAAAACCTAGAGGAAATGGATCAACTTCTGGGCACATACGATCTACCAAGATTGAACCAGAAAGAAATGGAAAGCATGAACAGACCAATGACGAGTAATAAAATTGAATCAGCAATACAAAGTCTCCCTACAAAGAAAAGCCCAGGACCAGATGGCTTCAAGGCTGAATTCTTTTTTTTTTTTCTTTTTTTTTTTTTTTTTGTCACAGAGTCTCACTCTTGCCCAGGCTGGCAGGCTGGAGTGCAGTGGTACAATCTCAGCTAACTGCAACCTCTGCCCCCTAGGTTCAAGTGATTCTCATGTCTCAGCCTCCTGAGTAGCTAGGATTACAGGTGCCTGTCACCATGGCCAGCTAATTTTTTTGTATTTTGTTGTTGTTTTTTTAGTAGAGACGGGATTTCACCATATTGGCCAGGCTGGTCTCGAACTCCTGACCTCAAGTGATCCGCCTGCCTCACCCTCCCAAAGTGCTGGGATTACAGGCATGAGCCACCGCACCTAGCCTCCACTGCTGAATTCTACCAAACTTTTAACAATGAACTAACACCAATTCTTCTGAAACTACTCCAAGAAATTGAAGGGAAGGGAATTCTTTAAAACTCATTCTATAAGTCCAGCATTACCCTGATACCAAAACCAGACAAGGACACAACCAAAAGAGAAAACTACAGGCCAATAGTCCTGATAAACACAGATGTAAAAATCCTCAATAAAACACTAACAAATTAAATCCAGCAGCACATCAAAAAGGTTATGCATCATGATCAACTGGGATTTGTTCCATGGATGCAAGAATGGTTCAACATATGCAAATCAATAAACATGACACCTCATATCAACAGAATAAATAACAAAAAAAGATCATCTCAACAGATGCAGAAAAAGCATTTGATAAAATTCAACATCCCTTTATAGTAAAAACTGTCAATGAATTCAGTATAGAAGGAATGTACCTAAGCAAAATAAAGGCCATATCTGACAAATCCACAGCCAACATCATACCTTATGGTGAAAAAGTTGAATGTTCTCCCTCTAAGAACCAGAACAAGACAAAGATGCTCACATTCACCACTTTTATTCAATTTAGTACCGGAAGTCCTAGCCAGAGCAATCAGGCAAAAGAAAGAAATAAAAGGCATCCAAATCGAAAAGGAGAAAGTCAAATTGTCCCTGTTTGCAAAAGACATAATTTAACATATAGAAAAACCTAAATACTCCATCAAAAAACCTCTTAGAATGAATAGACAAACTCAGTAAAGTTGCAGTATACAAAATCAACATACGAAACTCAGGAGTGTTTCTCTACACCAATAACAAACTAGCTGAAAAAGAAATCAAGAAAGCAATCCCATTTACAGTAGCTATAAAATAAAATAAAATACCTAGGAATAAACTTAACAAAGGAGGTGAAAAAAATCTCAACAATGGAAACTATAAAACACTGGTGAAAGAAATTGAAGAGAACACAAAAAAATGAAAAGGCAGCCCATATTCATAATTGACAGACTAAAAAATATTAAAATGACCATCTTACCCAAAGCAATCTACAGATTCAGTGTGATCCCCCTCAAAATACTAATGACATTTTTCACAAAATTAGACAAAAACAATCCTCAAATTTGTATAGAACCCCAAAAGATCTCAAATAGCTGGGCGTGGTGGCTCACACCTGTAAGCACAGCACTTTGGGAGGCCAAGGTGGGTGGATCATTTGAGGCCAGGAGTTTGAGACCAGCCTGGCCAACATAGTGAAACCCCATCTATACTAAAAATACAAAAAATTAGCTGGGTGTGGCGCGCATGCCTGTAATCCCAGCTACTGGTGAGGCTGGGGCATGAGAATCACTCAAACCCGGGAGGCAGAGGTTGCAGTGAGCCAAGATTGAGAGACTGCACTCCAGCCTGGGTGATACGGCAAGACTGTGTCTCAAAAGAAAAGAAAAAAAAAAAAAAAAAAAAAAAGACCTCAAATACCTAAAGCAATTCTGAGCAGAAAGAACAAAGCTTGAGGCATCATGCTACCTTACTTAAAATATAGTTGTAGTAACCAAGACAGCATGGTACTGACACAAAAACAGACCCAGACCAATGCAAGAGAATAGAGAACCCAGAAATAAATCCACATATTTATAGCCAACTAATTTTTGACAAAGGCACTAAAAACACACATTGGGAAAAGAATTGTCTTCTCAATAAATGGTGCTGGGAAAAATATTTAATATTTAACCTTCAATAGGAAATGCTAATTAGATGTCCAATTACTTTAACTGAAAGCATTTTTTCCCCTATTACGTTACCATAAGCCCAGGTCAAAAAGAACTGCTGAAAACTTTCAGTGTCTTCTTATTCCCAACTATACTTTGGAAAGGAGAATAAACAATCAGAATTGGAAAGTTGGACGAAAATTTCAAGATCTTCTTGTTCAGCAGCTCATAACAATGTAACAAGATCAGGAGCCAAGATCAACTGTAAGAAGTAATTTATTCCTATAAATAATTAAAATACTATGACTGTTTTGATTAATGTCTGCATAACTTAGATTACATTCAAAGTTATTCCTATAACAACCTCACTAACCCACTTGCATTCTGAGAAAGTAGCTGCAGCTCACTGGGAAGCAAGAGAGAGGCTCACATATAACTAGCAATCTATCTTTCCTGTGCTGCATTCTGAAGTCGGCCACTTACTGCTATACCAAGTATAGCAGAAATAGTTGTGGTAACTACAAAATCCAATTAAAATTAAAACATTTTAATTCTTTTATCTTCTATCAAAATCTAAGTATGCTGATGGGAACATGTGCATACATATAATCTGGCATATGCTTTATAACAGAAATGTGTTAAGAAACACTGACCTACTCCAGTCACCTCATTTTAAAGACAAGGAAAAAGGTTCGGGTTTTTATATAATCATAGCTAAAAAGTGGTCATGGCACTGGGACTCTTGTCTAAATATACATGACTTCCAAGACCTTATTCTTCCTCTGGCATCACACTGCCTTTCTGGCACTGAATCTGAAAGATATTTCAGGTTTTAATTCAGACATTCTTCTCTGCACATACTAAACTTTTAAATCTTTTAAAGCATTCTAAAAACTGTAACAAAGAGGAAAACTCTAAAATCACTATAAAATAAAAAATTTTAAATACAGGATTTATAATTCAGTTTACTAGAAACATACATTATGTGTGGGATAGAGAAGTATATGAAAATGGATATGATATTGCCACTGCTCTCAAAGTGATTGTGATCTCCTGAGGGAAAAAGACATGTACAACTAAAATACATAATGAAATATGTTTGATACTAGCAATATCTCAAAATACATTATTATGACGCATATAGAAAAAACTACTTTTGGCCAGGGAAACAGGATGTCATGGAAGGAGTCGTATATGACCTAAGTTTTAAAAAGTAGAATTCCACCTAGCAGAAATGCAAAAGGGAATATTACGGGCATATGTTACAAATAACAAAAGCAAAGGGATTACGCAGGAAAATGGAGGGCTATCCAGGAAATGATGAAAAATCCAGAATAATTGCAGCTATGTGTGCATGCAAGGAAGACATGAGAGAGAGTAGTGGGTAATAAAGTTGAAAAGGAAAGGTAAGGCCAGGCCATTGTGTCTTGAAGGTCAACGTGAAAACTCTAGGCGTGGGTAAGAAATAGTTAAAAAGTAATGCAGTTACATACTCAGATCTTGTGAAGATAACTACAGCACTTGGGAGAAGGAATTACAGAAGGGAGAATTTTTTTAACGGAAGATTAGTTGGCTTTGTAATAATCCAAAGATGTTATAAGTAGGCCAGAATTAGGGCAGTGGCAGTGGAAATGGAAAGGAGGTACTAAATGCAGAGGTGAAATCCAATTGGGATCACGCATAAGTGATGTGGAGGACAAAAGAAAGGGACTGATTTGGGGGCTTAAGCTTGCTGGAAGAGGACACTAGCCATGAATAACCCATGAAAGAAAAAAAAGTTAGGAGGGTGGAGGCTTAGAGGGGTTATCAATAGTTTTCTTTGGGATAGAACAAAGTATTTTTCACTAAGTGGTATATTTGATGTCTCTTGTATGACATCAAATGCTGGCCCTTGAAATATCTTCAATTGGCAGGTGTTGGCAAAAGAATATGCCTATGTGTTATTGGTGGAAATATAAATTGGTTCAACTTCTTAGGCAATTTCATAGAATCTAACAAAATTTTAAATGTGCACTGTTCTTTGACTAGAAATTACGTTTTTCAGAATTCATCTCACAGATAATCTCACATATATACACTAAGAATTTAAAAGGATATACATACTGCATTGTTCACTAACAATCAAAACATAACTTAAATGTCCAGCAATAATGTTTGGTTAAAGAAATGATACCAAAGAGATATGATGGTATACTATACAACCTTAAAAAATGAGTCAGATTTATAAGTAAAAAAAGTGAGGTGCAAAAGAGTATGTATGATATGCAACTAACTGTGTACAAGAAAAACAGATATGCCTACACATGCTTGTTTGTGCACAGATTATCTTTGGAAGTATAATTCTGAGACTGATAACAGTGGTAAAGAGGGAGCTAGGGGATTGGAAATGTCATGGCAGAGAGACTTTTAAAAAACAAACAAAAAATGTACACGTATTGCCTACTCTACTGATTAAACTGGAAGGCAAATGATGCATTGAATTTTTTCTCCATCTATAGTTGGCCTCTACTGGAAAGGCCAAAAAGGGTCAAAGGTATGTGACCAAAAATGCAAAGGGACAGAAACATCAGGAAACTGGTAAACCAATTGTGAATAAATAAACAGATTATACTTGAAAGTCATTCTCCAAAACCTAGTATACATTAATAAATAAGCCCTTGCTAATAAAATACAATAAAGATAAAATTGAGTATCATATACTCAATTTTTTAATTATATCATGATAAAAATTAGGCAAAAATTTGATTAATTCTGTGCCAGATTTTCCTTGGCACAAAATTAGAGGAGACAGAGGAAAGACAAATTCTTTCCTCTATCAATTACAAATGCATATTAAAATATAAAAGAAAAATACAACTATAAAGCAACTTAATTTGATAAGAACGAAAAGGCCTCTGATTATCTTCTCTTGCTGTCTGTAATCTTTTTATATACATCAATAAAAGCCAACCAAACACACACACACACACACACACACACACACACACACAAAGAACTAAAAGGTTACAGTCACATTGAACTTGATAAGATGGCAGATTTTATTTTCATCATTTAAATTTCCTTTACTGTTAGTACAATGATGTATAATAAATTAAAAAGTTAGAAGAAGAAAAAGAAAAAATACAGAAACCAGCAATTTTTCTAGTAAATGACAAAAAAAGCTAAGAGATTCTGAAAGCATTTTTGTATTAAATGAACAATAATTTTCCAATTCTGTTATCTTTCAAATGTTTACAAATGCATTTTGATATCTTTTATATATTAAATAATAATTCTAGGACTATTGAGTTTATAATGTGATCCTGTTTTCAAATCCTACCTCCTATATCTAAATTAACTTGCAAAGGAGTTTTCAGAAAGTTCCATTTATCTTTGAACTTCATTATAGATATATTTTAATGTCAGCAACTGGCATTTAAAAGCACATTTATTAAAGTTTACATTATACATTAATACAACACATTTTAGAAACCATCAAAGATAATTCTGATGATTATGGTAAAAAATCTAAAGATCATTGGAAAGAACTATTACATTTTCTCTTTAAAGGCTTTATTTTTATTATTTTTTATTTATTCATTTATTTTACCAGTAATCACCTCGTTTGCCATAAAATAGGAAGCTGAGATCCAATTTTACTATCATTTGGAACATTCATGGCTCTGAGCCTACTCCACCCAACCCAATAAATATTTCCTTCTTCCTTTGTTTTTTTTTTTTTTGAGACGGAGTTTCACTCTTGTTGTCCAGGCTGGAGTGCAATGGCACAACCTCAGCTCACTGCAACCTCTGCCTCCCAGGTTCAAGCAATTCTCCTGCCTCAGCTTCCTGAGTAGCTGGGATTATAGGCATCTGCTACCATGGTGGGCTAATTTTTTGTAATTTTAGTAGAGACAGGGTTTCACCATGTTCGCCATGTTGGCCAGGCTGGTCTCGAACTCCTGACCTCAGGTGATCCACCCGCCTCAGCTTCCCAAAGTGTTGGGATTACAGGTGTGAGCCACCGCGCCTGGCCGTAAATATTTCTTATTTTATTTATTATTTTTATTTATTTATTTATTTTTGAGACGGAGTCTTGGTCTGTCGCCAAGGCTGGAGTGTGGTGGTGTGATCTCGGCTCACTGCAACCTCTGCCTCCCGGATTCAAGATATTCTCTGCCTCAGCCTCCCGAGTAGCTGGGACTACAGGCACACATCACCACGCCTGGCTAATTTTTTGTATTTTAGTAGAGACAGGGTTTCACCGTGTTGCCCAGGTTGGTCTCAAACTCCTGAGCTCAGGCAATCCGCCTGTCTCAGCCTCCCAAAGTGCTGGAACTACAGGCATGAGCCACTGCACCTAGCCCCACAAATATTTCTTTAAGTCCTGGTGTGGTGGCTCACACCTGTAATCCCAGCACTTTGGGAGGCCGAGGCGGGTGGATCACCTGAGCTCAGGAGTTAGAGACCAGCCTGACCAACATGAGAAAAACCCATCTCTACTAAAAATACAAAAAATTAGCCAGGCATGGTGGCATCCCTGCTACTTGGGAGGCTGAGGTGGGAGGATCACTTGAGCCTGGGAGGCAGAGTTTACAGTGAGACAAGATCTTGCCACTACACTCCAACCTGGGTGACAAAGCGAGACCCTGTCTCAAAAACAAAACAAAAGAAAACTTTTCTTTAGCAAATAACACTGAGCTCTAGGACTAGTAAGTAAATATAGTAAGTAAGCTCTAGTTTCTAGTAAGAAAAAAATGTACCATTATCTGTGCAAAAGGATTATATCTCATTGAGGACCATTTTAGCAATTATTTCAAGGGCACTAAAAAAGTCATTTCTTCTACTGAAAACAAAAACAAGGACAGACACTAAAACCCAGCCTCCAAGATGACTCCCAGTGATGCTCATGCTCTTGGGTAGTTTTTCTTCCATATTGAATTGGAGTTGGTCAGTGTGACCAATGGAATATAAAACTCACGTTTTGTGACTTCTAACACTAGGTCTCTTTGCTCACTGTGTAGAGCCAGCATTAAGAATAAGCATCAACATGCCAGCCTACGAGTGACCAACACAGAAGATCTTCCATGCTCAGTCAAGCTGTCAGATGCGTGTTTCATTAACCTATATCTAACTGAAACCTCATGAGAGATCCAATGCTAGAAGTACCCAGCCAGAAACTATGAGTGCTCATACATATTAATGTTGTTTTTAATCACTATGTTTTGAGTTAATTTGTTACATGGCACAAGATCAGTAATACAAGGACTAAAATTAAGATATATATTAAAGATACAAGAAGATTTCTATATCTAGCATTGCATATTGATCTTTTGCTGCTGCTATCACATGATTGCTCTCATTTAATCTCTGAAAGGTTACTGATTTACATATGACATGAGAATTCAGAACCCTGGTTATACTTGCTGATTTGTAGATAAACAATATAATCTTATAACATTTACTACCTACATTAAGGGAAAAATTCTCTATCACTAAAGGCAAAAATTCTCCCCAAAACTGGTTCTAAAAATAGGTTTAAAATATGTTTATTTAATCAAAATTAGCTATACTGAACATGTCACAGATATTTTTTCAAAAATATTAAGGATGGAAAGCACATTACAGATCACCTAGACCAATGCCTTCATTTTTATGAATGTGAAAACTAAAGCCCAAATGATTACATGTTTAGATAAGTTATTTTTGCTTGTCAGGAATATCAGTTTATTCCTAAATTGTTAAGGGGGATTATTATAATACACTGAGTGGAAAAACACAAACTGTTTTTCTTCTGTTTTCACACCACCATCAACACTGAAGACTTCTGTGACCAAATGTGTGGGGATTTTCCCCCCACACACCAAGCAAGCAATCGGTTCTTTAGTAGACACCAGCTGGGTGTCCACTACTTCAGTTTAATTCTGACTCTACCTGGAGATAGTGTCAGATCCCATAGTTTGAGGGCTCAGTCCCCAAGACCAACCGCCCCCCACCAAACTTCTGATGATCAATCACAAGCCCCAGGTTGTCTTGCCTATGCTTCCAACGGACAGAGTTGGGGGTAGAAGAGAGAACGAAAAACTAACCCAAGTAACTTTATTTAAAGATAGTATTTACACTATATGTCCTCAGACTAAAACCAAAAAGCACCCTAAACAAATACTGAATACTAGTTAACAGGATTCCTTTTTAAAGATGTATGGGTTAGCAATTCTGAAGTTGCTTTTTCATATCTAGGATTGAGTAAATAAGTAAATTTATTGAGGGTAATGGAACCAGGCTTCTTGCTGTTGAAGAAGGAAGCTAAAAACATGGAAGGGAGGAATCACAGAATGAATAGTGTGATGCTGAAAGGAAATTGTAGTTATCAATATGAATTCATAGTTTTACATAACAACAGATAAAAACAAAATATCAATTCTGTGGTGTTACTTCCCCAAATTCATAACCTGAATCTAATAATAAGAAATCATTAGAGAAAATCAAAAGAGCAGCTTTTTATAAAATAAAAAGCCTACACTCATAAAAAATGTCAAGTTGCAGGGGACAAAGAATAAATTGTTCCAGACTAAAGATTAAGAGGCATGACAAGTGAATGCAACACATGCTCAGGGATTTTAACTTGTTATAAAGGCCATTACTGGAACAACTGGAAAAACCCAAATACAGTCTGCAGACTAGATAATAGTATTGTATCAATGTTAATTTCCTGGTTTTGATAATTACATCATGTTTGTATAAGAGACTGTCCTTGTTTTCAGGAAACATGCATGGAAACATTTAAGGATAAAGGAGTATCATGTCTTCAATTCCAAAAATTCAGAGGGAAAAAGTGTGTATTTCTGTATGTTTGCGTGTATTATAATATGTGCATATGTGAACAATGTATCAGCCTAAATAGGGATTATTACCTACCACACATATACATCAGCCTGATCTCAGAGCAAAGTGAGATCAATATTTACCAACAGAATTATATCAGGATATTTGTGAGATACAGTGAACTCTTAGAGGAAACAAAGAATTTCAAGTAACGTGAGGAATCTAAGGACCTGAATTGGAGTTATTCAAGATAATACATTCAGGTACTTACAGGAAAATTAAGAATAAAAGGTATTTTATCAAGAACCTAAAAGGTTCTTCTTGACCAGAAAAGTCTGACTTCAGTATGCAAGGACTACTGATGGTACAGCCCAGAGTTAAAGGCTTAGCTGGAGAGAAGCAATCACTTCCAGAACAACCATTCTATCTTCTCATTCTCAGTCTCTATCATTAAGTCACTCATTAATTCAGTTATTCACCCAGGCAATTTATATTTATAGAGCATTTTCTAGAAGCCAGGTACTATGCTGACATTCTCACAACCAAAAACATGGAGGTCAGAGTCTGGATACTAAAGATATTCCAAACAGATGGGTTCTGTTTGACCCATACATTTTTTCATTCCAAAGAATAAAGCAAAGACACCTGGACAACTTATGTCAAAGATTCACTTAGGCATTCCCAATGAAGTGATCTAAGTTCCAAAGTAAATTTCTAGAGCCCATTCTTTCGTACAAAACTTAACCTTTCAGAACCGCTTATGGAAAAATAGCCTTTAATTCAAAACTATACCCTAAATGTCTAAAATAAAAGCTTCCCAGTTCCCAAAAGAACTGTTCTATTGGAGAACTAATCAGTATTTAAAAGGCAGAGCCCACAGCTCGATTAAACATCAAGATAAATAAATATTCTTTCCAATGAAATGAGCAGTAGATTTGATTCCCTTTTTCTGCAGATGAAGATCAAGTTTGCGTAGGTTAAATATAAATATGGCTACCTGTAAAACTAATGGGTGATAAGACATAGAACTAAAAGAGGCAGGATAAGACACAGTTTGGTATCCATACAAGAAATTGGCCGGACACGGTGGCTCACGTTTGTAATCTCAGCATTTTGGGAGCCCAAGGCAGGCAGATTGCTTGAGCTCAGGAGTTTAAGACCAGGCTGGCCAACGTGGTGAAACCTGTCTCTACAAAAGAAAAAAAAAAAAACACAAAAAAATAGCCAGGCATGGTGGCACACACCCATAGTCCCAGCTACTCTGGAGGCTGAGGTGGGAGGATCGCTGGAGCCTCGGAGGCAGAGGTTGCAGTGAGCTATGATGGCACCATTGCACTCCAGCCTGGGCAACAGAGTGAGACCTCATCCAAAAAAAAAAAGAAGAAGAAGAAGAAGAAGTCATGGAAGTGAGACAGATAAAATGAAGACATCAAGAGAAGAAAAGAATAAAGGTATCTAGAAATGGCTAGAGATGATGAAGTAAACTTTGGAGTAAGGAAAGAATGACTAGAGGAAGTGATTATAGTGGTAATGGGACCAACTCCAGGGCTCTATCCTCACTTGCTGGCTTGGCAAATTAGTTAAATGCTCTTACGGGTAAGTTTCCTCATCAGTTAAAAAAAGAAAAAAAAAAAAGTAAATATACCACCTCAGTTACAGTGCACAGTGCCTGACACAGCATTTGTTGTATATATTAAATGTTAGTTATTATTACTATTATTGTTGATTATAGCAGAAGCCAAAGAAATACACTTTGATGGTGTTACTCATGCTAGACCTAAGAAACAAATTGTAATTTAAGAGATTTCTGGTATAGAATGCTCCAAATGTCAAAGTGTTGTTTGTAAGTTACTTCAAGATGTGATAGTTAATGTCCTCATTGCCCTAGTGACTGAAGCAGACTGAGATAAAGAGACACAGAGCTTTTGGGCATGTTCAACAAAATTAAGAGTCTATGGTCTGGTTATTACATGTAATGTGCCTATCTATTGGTGTACAATTTACATGTCAAAATGCCTTAAACCTCAAGGGAGTGTTCTTCTTTTCTTCTTAGTTTTGAAAGCTAGTAAGTTGACCTCTTTATATTTTTCCTAAAAACACTGCATTTTACACACACACACACACACACACACATATGTGGGAGGATATATATGCGTATGGGAGAATCGCTTGAGGCCAGGAGTTCAAGACCAGCCTGGACAATACAGTGAGACCCCATCTCTACAAAATTACATGAAAAAAATTAGCCAGGCATGGTCATGTGCACCTGTAGTCCTAGCTACTTGGGAGGCTGAAGGGGAAGGATTGCTTCAGCCCAGGAGTCTGAGGTTACAGTGAGCTATGATCATGCTTATACTATATTCCAGCCTGGGCAACAAAGCAAGATCCTGACTCTTAAAAAAAAAAAAATTAGATTAACAAACTCTATTATTAGCAAAGTGCAATAATGAGCACTCCTGTGGCAAAAGTTTTAAAAATGTGAAAATTCACCTAGCAATTTCACTTCTAGGTTTTTATTTTATAAAAACAACCAGGGTTGTATATAAGAATTTGTCCATAAGGCTATTCCCTACAGCATATTTATATAGCAAAAATATATATGTTGAAAACAAACAAACAACCTAAATTTCAAAAGTAGACTAGTAAAATAAATGAGAGTACATTCCGATGTTGAAATACTCTGCAGTCATTAAGTCATGTTGTAGAATAATTTAGTAGTGCCAAGAAAACAGGCAATATATGTTTTTATTTAAATTTAAGAAGTAGATAATCTTTTTCATGAACTTCTTGGTTCTTTTCAAATATTAATTTTTCTATATAAATTTTAACATTATTTTATCCAGTTTTTAAGAAAATCAGGATTCTAGAAATCTGGTAACTTTCCCTTTTAGTTTATTCTTAGGCATTTTAAAGATTTTTGACACTACTATGAATGACAATTATTCTTTATTTTTTAAAGTTAGTTATTTAATGGTACAGAGAAAATCTTATTGATATATATATATTTAATATCTGCTCATCCAATCAAATTTTTCCCTTTTTAATATTTCTCCTGGAGTTGGATATAAAATGTTTTCTTAGAAGGATTTTCTTAACATATAATTATAAATAAATAAAAAAAAAGGCAAGATCCAAATAACTGTATATAAGGTGATCCCATTTTGGCAAAACACACTCCCCCTCCCCATTTATACCATTATATATAATGTATTTGCATATAATAAAATGGGTTTGATGAATGCAAAAACACACAGCTTGTTAACATAAATGCGTTAAGAGATGGTGGGGAGAGGGGGAAGAGAAGAGGGCAGGTAAACTTCCTTCTCCAAAAAAAATCTGCATTTTAAAAAAGATATTCATGAGAAAGCAGTATGGTACTCATGTCGATGTGTGAGCACACACACATGCGTGTGAATAGAGATGCCTAAAAAGACAGTTATCAAAATTTTGATGGTGGACTACTCACAGTGATGGCTCTTCAGGTACTTTTATTTCTTCATATTTTTCTGTAGGATTCAAAACTGTATTACATGAAAATATATTATGCAATGCTATGAAGAAAAAAATAAAATCTTTTTGTTGTCGACTAAAAAATGATACATCCTATGTTATGCTGGTATATTGATGAGTCAGGAGAAAATGAAAGATGATGGGAGGAAAAGGATATATAGTGCAATGATGTTAATATCAAGGGGGTGATGGGGAAGAGGACAGAGGTAGAAAAGAAAAGAAAAGAAAAAAGAAAAGAGAAAACAGAAGAAAGGGAAAGGGAAAGGAAAGGAATAAGCTTTTGAAGGGTACCAGCTTTACCATCACAGCTATAATCTCGTTGGGGAAAAATGGCTTCCATAAAAACATGACTTCATCTTTATGATACTGCCTGTAAGAGAAGTACAGAGAAAGAAAAGACCTAGGTAGACTGAATCAGGGAATACTTCATAGAAAAAATAGAACTTAAGATTAGAAAGATTTAAATAAATTGTAAAGTAAGGATTTTCTAGACCTGTGAAAAATACAATCAAGGTATACAAGTTGAAATTCACACCACTGGACTTCATAGGAAGCTTTACGTTGGAGCCGGAAATAAAAGTGTAAGGTTGTGTACAGCCAGATTACAGAAGACCTCAAAAGACAAGCTGAAAAACAGGCTTGACATTCAAGGCCTTCTTGGAGCAGAGGAATGACACAAGAGAAATGTTTTAGAAATACAGACCTGGAGATGGCATGGGTATTAAGGCAGTGAGCAGCAAAGGATGCATCAAAAAGGCTGGCAAGGAGGCTGTGGGAGTAACAAAGGCCTGGATAAACAAGGACAAACCCAAGAGATATTGTGAAGAATTGTTTGGAAACTCTTACAACAAAATCTCAAAGTCTTAATTCCAAGGAGACCAGGAGCCCTGGGGAATCTAGAAGGTAAAGGACAGGGTGACGAGCAACTCGGAGAAAAACAGGTGGAGAGGCCTTGGGTGTTAGCAGAGGAGCTGGGGCCCTTGGATAGGTTTGCAATCAGTGCAATCTCTATGCTCTCTGTGTGCTCTGGCACCTTTAGGAAGTGTTGGCCTGGCCCAGGGTCTCGAACAGCTAACAAAGTATCCAAGTTACTGATTCCTGGACTCATTTCTATTACTTTATACATATGTATATATATTTTATTATACTTTAAGTTCTAGGGTACATGTGCACAATGTGCAGGTTTGTTACATATGTATACATGTGCCATGTTGGTGTGCTACACCCATTAACTCGTCATTTACATTAGGTATATCTCTTAATGCTATCCCTCCCCGCTCCCCCCACCCCACAACAGGCCCCAGTGTGTGATGTTCCCCTTCCTGGTCCAAGTGTTCTCATTGTTCAATTCCCACCTGTGAGTGAGAACATGCAGTGTTTGGTTTTTTGTCCTTGCGGTAGTCTGCTGAGAATGATGGTTTCCAGCTTCATCCATGTCCCTACAAAGGACATGAACTCATCATTTTTTATGGCTGCATAGTATTCCATGATGTAAATGTGCCACATTTTCTCAATCCAGTCTATCATTGTTGGACATTTGGGTTGGTTCCAAGTCTTTGCTATTGTGAATAGTACCGCAATAAACATATCTGTGCATGTGTCTTTATAGCAGAATGATTTATATTCCTTTGGGTATATACCCAGTAATGGGATGGCTGGGTCAAATGGTATTTCTAGTTCTAGATCCCTGAGGAATCACCACACCAACTTCCACAATGGTTGAACTAGTTTACAATCACATCAACAGTGTAAAAGTGTTCCTATTTCTCCACATCCTCTCCAGCACCTGTTGTTTCCTGACTTTTTAATGATTGCCATTCTAACTGGTGTGAGATGATATTTCACTGTGGTTTTGATTTGCATTTCTCTGATTGCCTTACACAAAAATTAATTCAAGATGGATTAAAGACTTAAATGTTAGACCTAAAACCATAAAAACCCTAGAAGAAAACCTAGGCAATACCATTCAGGACATAGGCATGGGCAAGGACTTCATGTCTAAAACACCAAAAGCAATGGCAACAAAAGCCAAAATTGACAAATGGGATCTAATTAAACTAAAGAGCTTCTGCACAGCAAAAGAAACTACTATCAGAGTGAACAGGCAACCTAGAGAACGGGAGAAAATTTTTGCAATCTACTCATCTGACAAAGGGCTAATATCCACAATCTACAAAGAACTCAAACAAATTTACAAGGAAAAAACAAACAACCCCATCAAAAAGTGGGCGAAGGATATGAACAGACATTTCTCAAAAGAAGACATTTATGCAGCCAACAGACACATGAAAAAATGCTCATCATCACTGACTCAGTTCTATTATATAAGCTTTAGGCGGGCCGATCTTAACCTCTTATTAAATACTTAAAGAATGTTTTGATTGCTCACTATGTAGCTATCTAAATACTGTAAAATTCAGTTACTCCCCAGTGTATTTCATTTAGACGTTGAAGGAGTGAACACCCAACAAATATTTCCATATCGTTTTCAAAGCAGCCTTTCTTCTGATAAGACTTTTCCACAATTTAGAACTTGTTGACACACTAAACACTAGATAACATTTCGGTTAAAAATATTTCATTTTTTAAAGAAGACAGGTTCTTCTTCCTTCCCTCCAAAATAAAACCTAAAAAAAAGAAAAAGAAAGAAAGAAGCATCCATGAAAAACGTCTAGCTTTCTTTTCTGCTGTCTGCATTTTCTTCATACAGTGAAGCCTACTTAAAGCAGTAGACTCATTTGTAGACATTCCCTGAAATATAAGCTCAAGGTATAACTATACCCACCCTCATAGTGCTGAGAAGAGATAATATTAATATTTGTAAAATGTTTAACACAGTGCCTGGCACATTATAATTACTCAAAATGAGAGTACAAAATTGTAGTCCATGAAAACAATAGCAGGCCAAGAAACTGTTTATTCCGTATAATTTCAATTATGTTAAATTACACAGAAAAGATTAGAAAGAAACACACTTGAAAGCTGTCATTATTTCTGGGTGGTGGTGTTAGAGGTGGTTGCCCTTCTTTATTTTTCCTCGTTCTTTTCGAATTTCCCACAAAAGGTGCACATTTCTTTTATCATCATAAATTTAAAATATCTAATATTAACAGGATTTTACACAGAACAGGGGCAGATAGAAGGCTTTATTGCCCCAGCAAGTAGAGACTGAACAAATGTTCTCTTCCCACTCTGTTTAGCAGCTTGGCTCCCTCAATAACAAGACCACTTTTCTTCTCATAAACATTATTTTCCTTCTACTTGTTATCTCTACTTTTTTAGAGTTGTTCACCTGCTATTCATTCTTTTGCTTTCTGGTGTTAAAGAACAGAAGTTTAAAATGTACAAAAAACAAATATAGGCTCTCAAGAGGCTTCCTTCTAAGTAGAAACCTTATTTATGCAGCTACAAATAAATAAAACCTTATTTAGATAAATATATATTATAGTAAAAGTCTCCAGCAGTGAGACTGTGATGTGAAATGGTCTCTTAATATTGTGGGAACATAGGAAATGTTAGAATAAAAAAAAAAACAAAAAGCAAAAAACAAAACAAAACAAAAAAACAGGATCCTACAATCATTTTTAAAAATATATTTTTAAAGTAGACTTCTTATAAACACTACACTGAAATGCAATATCCTTCATCCAATGAGCTTAAACTGGACTTCAATATAATTTTATCTGATTTATAAAGAAGTGTCAATAGTTAGTCCCATTTTATACAGAAAACCACAGCATTTTTGGGAGGTGGGGTGGTTTTGAGACAGGGTCTCACTCTGTCGCCCAGGTTGGAGTGCAGTGGCATGATCACAGCTCACTGCAGCCTCAGCCTGCTGGGCTCGAGCGATCCTCCCATCTCAGCCTCCAGAGTAGTTGGGACTATAGGCTGCGCCACCATCCCCAACTATTTTAAATTTTTTGCAGAGACAGGGTTTCACCATGTTGCCCAGGCTGGCCTCCAATTCCTGGGTTCAAGCAATCCACCAGCCTCGGCCTCCCAAAGTGCTGGGATTGCAGGCATGAGCCACCATGTCCAGCTAGACAATCACAACATTTGAAGATGGCTCTAAAAGTTTTAGGGCCAAGCATGGTGGCTCACATCTATAATCCCAGAACTTCCGGAGACCAAGGCAGGAGGATCACTTAAGCCCAGGAGTTCAAGATCAGCTTGGGCAACAAAGTCAGACTTTGTCTCTACAAAAAGAATTAGCTGACAGAGTGGCATGTGCATGTAGTCCCAGCTACTTGGGAGGCTGAAGTGAGAGGATTGCTTGAGCCCGAAAGGTCAAGGCTGCAGTGAGCCATGATTGTGCCACTGCACTCCAGCCTGGGTGACAGAGTGAGACCTTGTCTCAAAAAATAAAAAATATAAAAGTCTTTTACAGCAATGGTCTAAAAAGTCTACAAGATGAACTATCTACTTCATAGAACCTTCCTCACTAGAATGAGATAGGGTCTTCTGCAATTTCCCTAGGTGGAGCCAGGGCCGTGGCAGCAGCGGTGGCTGCTGCTGCTGTTGCTGTTGCTGCCATGTCGAAGGAGAGAAAGACTGAGGAATGCTTCTGCTTCCAGACTTGAGGAAAAAACTCAAATATTTATATATTTTTAAATATAGTAATTTTAAACCCTAAAAAAAATAAATCTTTTCTTAACTGTCATGAAGCAGTTAAATCATCATCCCCAAAGGTTTGCATATCTGGCTCCCTTTTCTACTACCCCATAGCCACCTTGTCCTTTCCCTAGTCACTAATATCTACTGTAGAACAGTAATAAATACTGAGTTTTGGTATTTTCAAATTATTGTTTCATATTCTTACTCATGAGAATGTTTTGCTTCTTGATTTTATTTTCAAATGTGCAGGTACAGAACATTTTATGCTTTTCTCTAAAAAAATAACAACTTATGAAATCTAAATTAAGTTATTTTTACTTCTATGATCCTCACTGGGTTTTGTTTCCTGTAAGGTTAATGGATTTTTGGCAGGAAGTATTATTCACCAGTCCTGGATTATATATTAAGATACGGAATTAAATGATCTGCCCTCACATTCAAAAATTAACTGAACTAAAATGGGTAACAATTTTATTCAGCCCTTATTGTGTAAAAGGCACTGTGTGTGAGATAAGAAGTATGAAACAAGAGCTGCTCTTAAAATGTTTATCTATATTCTTTATTATCCAAAGCTAAGATATGCTCTCAATAATGTAGTAAGTCATTTCAATTTTCTTTTCTTTTTTTTTTTTTTTTTTTTTTTTTTTGAGACAGAGTTTCGCTCTTGTTGCCCAGGCTGGAGTGCAATGGCGCGATCTTGGCTCACTACAACCTCTGCCTCCCAGGTTCAAGCAATACTCCTGCCTCAGCCTCCCGAGTAGCTGGGATTACAGGCATGCACCACCACACCTGGCTAATTTTGTATTTTTAGTAGAGACGAGGTTTCTCCATGATGAGGCTGGTCTCAAACTCCTGACCTCAGGTGATCCACCCGCCTTGGCCTCCCAAAGTGCTGGGATTACAGGCGTGAGCCACCACGCCTGGCCAGTCATTTCAATTTTCTAAAACGTAATAGCATCAGACTCATGGGATGCCACACTTTCCTTTCAACCTCACAAAAATCCTGCTTTCTGCAACAGAGATTACAGTTCAGTAACAAGCAAAATGTAAAATGTGACAATGTTCTCATTGGTCATTGATAAGCATTCACTAATTAGATTATAGCCAGTAAGAAAGAGACAAGGTTGGGGGCGGGGGCAAGCAAAGAGGGGTATAGAGAGAGAAAGAGAAAAATGAGAAATAAAAGAAAAAGTTATCTTTACTAAGTTCTCTGTTTTAAAGTAACAAGGACAAGGACCAAAGTTTAAGAAGAAGAAAAACATAAATTTTTATTATACTGAAAGGAATACTTACAGTTATTTAAATAAAGATATAGAAAGTTGACCAAAATCTAAAAAAATTTAGATGGAAACCAGGGTGGATCTCTGTAGACAACCTAATATTCTGACAAACTAAGTCAGGGCCAGGATAAGGTCAAGAACTCAAAATACATCTTGTGTTTTGACTTTTAAGCAGTTTGAAGAACATGGGGAACAAGAGAGAAAAGAAAATCATCAACACTGGCCCAGTGATACTCTTATAACTTATTCACCCCACTATTTGAAGCAAATAAAAGAGTCTCTATCACACTGTCCTTCTCCTTACACTGATTTATAGAATTCAGAACTAGAATTCCCAACACTTCATATCCTTTGGTTTCAAAATAATTTGAACCTAAAGATATCCATGTAAATTTGTTTAAAATGCTTCTTTCTTTTCCTGATGGACGCTTGCTTGCACTGCTGTTTTCTCAAGAAGACAGTGAGAGCAGTCATTTGAGTTGCTGGCACTGCTTTTCCTGGGCCAGTTACAAACAATAGGAAGCTGACAGTAGACAAGAAAAAACCTGTTTTTGTCATCATGCTTTGTTGCAGCCTGATGGGCAATAATGTTGGGTACCATATTTAGCTATGTGCTTTCCCTGTTCTTTAAAAAGTTTATGGTTTGGTACTCATTTGTAAAGTTTCAGCACAGTTCCTTCTTTTACAACCTTTTCTGCAAACAGTAATGGAAAAGCTACCTCATGGCACTTCACATAACTTTAGCCCTCTAGGGGTTTTGCCATCTTTGGCAATTTGGCTTTCAAACCCAAGATCTCACTTATGCTTAGTCTTAGTTTGTTTTTTAATTCCAATCTATTTCTTCAGAAGAGGGTTACTCTCCCTACTTACTTATCAGAAAGCCTTTTTAACATTAGTTTTCAAATTAAATACCAGCCCAAGGTTGCATATCAGCTCTGTAACTTTTCTAAAGATTTGCAGATCAAGCCAGGGAAGTAGTCTGGTTCGCTTTTGTAGAGAAAGTAATACAGACACATTTGGAAACTACTACTTAGTTCAAGATTCCAAGTTCCAAATCTCACTGAAAATAATTGGGGCTTGAATTCCATTTTTCTTCCCATCTAAGAAAAAGTTGGTACTTAAAAATTGTAAATCTCCTAATATTTCTCAGTCATCAGATATCTTTTCCAAAATGGCATTCTGATCAGTATAATGCAAATGAATCACGAATTAAATTCCACCCAAGATATTCCTGTACTAAAATTCAAAGGAAAGTGCTTGGCAAAATGCATCTTAGGATCTGCCAAACCCCAAACATGTAAAAACAAATAATAACTCTAGGATGTTTTGCCAACCCCAAAAAAGCCAATGGCCACCCCTCTTTGAGAATGTCTTCAGGTTTCTGAATGCCTTCTATTTAGGCTTCACAGTCTAAGTCCTTGGGTGTCAAAGGTCAAGAACCACCAACCAGAGAATTAATAAAACTGAAGCTCTAGGTAAATAAACTTCAAACTCCTAAGCTCTGTTAGAAAGTTTCACACATAGTTCATCTGTTGAGAGAGTTTTTTTTTTTCCCCATTCAAAGAGCATTTAGCCTTAGGATTGCTTTCATTCAGCAAGGATCACCTACATTCTGATTCTTGTGGTTATTAGAGCAAATCACAGGGTGTTGAGAACTTGGCTTCTTCCATCTTAATAAAACAGTTCAAGTCAGAGAGGCAGTTAATCCCTGGAAGGCTTTGTGATCCCATCCCCTGACATGTTTGATAAATATGGAAATTGTAAAATGTTCTGACTTGTTAAAATTTTTTAAGCCTGCTTAACATGCTCTTTGGCCTCAACATGCACAAAGTGCTGACTTGGCATGCCTCGGAGCCTCCATCACCTTCTCTATTGTGTATACACTGACAACCCCTGAAGCATAAATAAGTCACACTTCACAAAGAATGTTTATTCTATGCTCTAAGAGGGACGCTCCTTTTCTCAAGGAAACAAAAGCATGGGAAAGGGGAGGGAGAAAGGGTGTGTACAAAAATATGTGGCAGAAAGGAAAAAAAACCCTTCAATTCTAAATAATTACAAAATTGAAGACCATAAAAAAATCTGGGTTAGGGATAGGTATGTCTACATTTGGCTTATAAACAGATCTTTCAGAGTCTGAAATTACCATGGTAGGAAACAACTATTCCTCTTTGTTCCTTGCTTTACAAAATGTAATGAATAATATAGTTTTCTTTCAGTACCTCCTGTAATTCAAATGAGTCCACTCCCCTTTAACGCTATTCAAAGTTAAGAAAATAAAATACTATTATGACCTGTATCTGGCCACCAGTGAGCAAGAAAACAAGCTCTGATTACATGAATAGATGCAACTTCTACTCATCTCAAATAACTAATCATCTTGGAGACTGAATAAACAACTATATAAATACTGAGAAAGAAGGCTTGTAACTGTATGAGCCAGGTGCAGTGTTTAGAAACTCTGCAGACATAAAATTCAAAGGGAAACTCTGTGAAAAAATCACACAGACAGTATACTCATGAAATGCTGATGACGCACTGGAGTACTTCAGAATCTATAGCCAGCTACATTCATCAGTTGTAGACATTATTGATATTCCCAGATCCAACCATCAAATTCCCAGCACTTTGACTGTTTCCAGAAGATTGCTTTCATGGGGTCTCCTGAGGCTGCTGCTTATATTAAACTTACAATTACGAGCAACAACAGCAAAAGTGAGAAGCAGATGGCTGCAAGGTAGAATGGAAACAGAGGCCTCATGGATGCAGAGATAGGCACATCTTAGTAAAAAGAAAAGCAGCGGTAAAATAGCTGAATGGCAGAGAACTGGTGGGAGAAGGAAAAGAAGCTAAGAGTCAGGATGACATCCATACTATTAAAACTATCCAGGAAAAACTGAGAATTAGCTATAGGCCTGTAGACAGTTCTCAGGGTCTGCCAGTTTCAGGCAGACAGGAAAAGAAATGACCAGACCATTAGAAGGGGCAAGAACTTGACCTGTGGCTGCTGGGGAAGAAAACAAGGATTAAAAAAAAAAAAGAGAGTATAAATGTTGACCCTCAGGCTAGTCCTGGTACTCCAATTAAGGAAGGAAGGAAAGTGGACAAATTATGACTTTAGGAGAGAAAAAATAATCAAAAGGATTGAGAATATTATCTTCTACCTTAGCATCAATATCACATGGCTCAAAAATAGTTGCAGCTCAGAATAGCATGGCATGAAGAAAATAACACTACAGAGAGACAAGGAGACTGTATTAGTGCATTCTCACACTGCTATAAAGAACTACCTGAGACTGGGTAATTTATAAAGAAAGAGGTTTAGTTGGCTCACGGTTCCACAGGCTGTTAAGGAAGCATGGCTGAGGAAGCCTCAGGAAACTTACAACTGTGGCAGGAGGCGAAGGGGATGCCTGCACATCTTCACATGGCAGAACAGGAGAGAGAGCAAAGGCGGAAAGGGCTATACACTTTTAAATAACCAGATCTCATGAGAACTCACTCACTATCACAAGAACAGCAAAAGGGAAATTCACCCCCATGATCCAATCACTTCCCACCAGGTCCCTCCCACAACACTGGGAATTATAGTTCAACATGAGATTTAGGTGGGCACACAGAGCCAAACCAGATCACAGAACAACCAAACTAATGACCCAGTCACCCATCTTCTCCTACGGGAGGCAGAATACCCAAATGTTAAGCTCAGTGCTTCTCAAACTTTAATGTGCATGAGAATCACCTGGAGGATCTTGTTCAAATGCAGATTCTGATTCAGGAGGTCTGGAGTGAGGCCAGAGATTTTGCATTTTCAAAAAGCTCCCGGGTGATTCTCTAAGAATGCTGTGAGGACCAAGGGCTCATATGGACCTTACCCAGGTAAGTTCTGGCTTGCCTCATGACCTGGACAAGTTGTTGAACTTCTCTGATTTTTTGGTGTCTTCATTTACTGAATAGAGAGAGCAACGCTTATCACATTGATGTGAGGAACAAACAAGACAATTTAACTTAATGCCTAGCTATTATCATCACTAGCACAATAGTTCCCAAAGCAAAATAGACATACCATTGGTGGTAAAAAGAAAAGTCTTTCTAAAATTGTAATTGTTAGGCAATATTTTAATAGATACTAGAAAAAACATAACTATTACCTTAAACCCAAGATTTCATGAGTATTATCACTTAGGATAAAGCTAAGTTTAAAAGAAAAAGTTAATTTAAAAAATTACAAAGTAAATAAAAGTACAAGCGGTACAGAGATAGAACAAATATGGTGAGGATGATACTCAGTTGACTAAAGTTTGGGAAACATCAATTAATACCAGGGTTAGCAAGCTCCTTGAAGTCAAGGGCTTGACCAGATTATCCTACTATAAGGAGCAGGTGTGTGGTAGAGTTTAAACGCAGTTCAATTCTTTCTGGTCATTTAAGTCTTAGAAGCTATACTTTAATCAAATGATACTCATCTTCATCCTTATTCATATATGTTGCATAACTATGCTATCATGAATTGTGAAGCTATCCATAAGATTAAGGGAAACAAATTCTGTTGAATACAGCCATTTTCCCCCTTGATACTTACATTAACCAATCTAAACTACCTCCCAACAGTGGGTAGATAACAGAATTATTCCCCCAAGGAAAGGAAAAGCTATGATTTTATGTATCCAGTATTATGATGTTTCTCTTTTCCCACAAAAGTAGTGTAACACCATTCTTAGGTAATTTGTGGTCAAAGAGATGGATGTGGATAACTAAACACTTTACAGCTGAATTTGTCATACCTTTAACAGCAACCATTAGAGCAAACAGGAAGTCTAGGGTCATAGGTGAGTAGGAAACAGCATATTATGAGTAGTACAGTTTTCAAAAGAGAACTATAAAAGGCTTCCTGATGTATGTAGCATCTAATGTCTGATGTACTTGAAGCAACATCTCATTCTTACAATTTTGCTGTAGAAGGCTGATGGGTTTGTTTAGTTAATAAATAAAAGGTAAACACAGGCATATGCCCAAACTTCAGTCATTCACTTGTCTGTGACGTGAACCACTTCTCCAATGAATTAGATAATAGTTTTCAAATACTGTCCTGAAAGAATATTTTCTCAAGTTTTTGGTGCTATTCATAGTATAATGGTTATAGATATATAACACACTTTTTTTTTTTTTTTTTTTTTGGAATGAAGTCTCGCTCTGTCACCAGGCTGGAGTGCAGTGGCGCCATAATGGCTCACAGCAACCTTCGCCTCTCAGGTTCAAGCGATTCTCCTGCCTCAGCCTCCTGAGTAGCTGGGATTACAGGCATGCGCCACCACACCCAGCAAATTTTTTATTTTTAGTACAGATGGGGTTTCACCATGTTGGCCAGGATGGTTCTCGATCTCCTGACCTTGTGATCTGCCTGCCTCAGCCTCCCAAAGTGCTGGGATTACAGCATGAGCCACCGCACCCGGCCAGATATAACACACTTTTTAATATGTGTTATTAACATTTTTTCCATCACTTTCTTAAGTCTAGACAATCAGCAAAACAATAAATCAGCCCCTGATTGGTTGTGTTTGCTGATTTTCATGGTGTTAATACTTCTACCATGGCTAATTTGAAGCTATCAACATGATGTTAATGAACATGAAGTTGTGAAGAGATATACAATAGTATACACCATTATATAGTATTTCCAATACAGATACAAGAGACACAAATAACCTCAAGAGCATAGATAATAAAATGTAGTAAAACATAATTACTGAGTTTTGAGTATTATCTTTGTTTTTAAATAATTTATTTAATTGTAAGTTTATATAGTTTAATTTTTACTGATAACTGGCTCACAAAATTTCTGAAAATTTAATCACTAGATCTTGGGAGCTGGTGGGGGCTGCCTCCAACACATCATTGGCCACGTACCACATCCCACACATTGTTGCTACCACCCAATTTACATATCAATTTTGAGTTTTCTAAGTTAAAAAATTCTTGCATAAATGTGATAAATTTTGTGTGTTAAAGAAATGACAATAAAAATAACCATACAGATATTATGATTTGTATATTTTATATAGCCAAGTTTGTAGTTAACAATGGAAAACTTAAGAAATATTTCTGCCCTTCAGGCTTTACAAAATCAAATAATAAAAGCACCACTGCATCTTGAGGGAGAAAGGTAGGAAACAGATATTCATTTGAGTAAGAAAAAAAAAAAGGATATCAAGCTATGAATAAAAATATCTGTACTGATTTTTCACAAATAAAACTGCTCAGAAAAACTTGACATGCTAATGGAAGGAGGCTGCTTATAATTGAATCCTAAAGAATGTTTTCTATGATACAACCACCACAACATAAATGTTTTAGATGCTATCATTACATGCCGATACCAACTTTTTAATTTGTAAAAGATAAAAGAGGAAATTATAAGCAAATCCAAAGCTAATTCACTAATCCCTCTAACTGAAGTAAACCACTCAGAGAATTAGAGAGCTTATTCCACAGAATGGTCATTTATGATGTCAAATAATACTTTTAAAGACTTTCAAACACTGGTCTGGTCTGCATTGCCCTGGTTGCAAAGCTAAAAGCAGTTAAGTTGTGCTTGATCCCTTGGAAAAGTTCAGTTAACCAGTTTATATCAAAAGGATGAACATTCAACTACCTTCCCTTTCAAGGAGAATAGTTTGTGTGAATAACGTACCAAAGCCTCCTATAAAATCCTATGGAATTGTTTATTTCAAAAGTTAAGTCTTCAAAGCTCAGGGAAATACACAGAAAGTACATTGTTTATCTCTACAAAACAGAACATACGGAAAAATTTACAACTGTCAAGTGTTATTATGCTGCAAAACAAACATGTGGAAGAACACAACAGGGATAAATACAGTGAGATCTGTTCACCAACTGGAGATGTTGGAGGCACACGGAAGATTTTACAAAAATTGCAACATTTAAGACATTGGCAAGACATTTGTGCTAACCTGCGCTTTATGACAAGATGGCACACAATAGTTCAACTGTTTCTTCTGAATTATAACTCAGGTTTAGTCATGTAGGTCAATATGAAAAGCAGCCCTTTAAAAAAAGAAAGAGGCAGCCAGGCACGGTGGCTCACACCTGTAATTCCAGCACTTTGGGAGGCCAAGGCAGGCAGATCACGAGGTCAGAAGATTGAGACCATCCTGGCCAACGTGGTAAAACCCTGTCTCTACTAAAAATATAAAAATTAGCTGGGTGTGGCGGCACGTGCCTGTAATCCCAGCTACTCGGGAGGCTGAGGCACAAGAATTGCTTGAACCCAGGAGGCGGAGGTTGCAGTGAGCGAGAGCGTGCCACTGCACCCCAACCTGGTGACAGAGCAAGACAAAGAAAGGAAAAAAAGAAAAGAAGAGAGGAGAGGAGGGGAGGGGAAAGGGGAGGAGAGGAGAGGGGAGGGGAGGGGAGGGGAGGGGAGGGGAGGGGGGGAGGGGGGGAGGGTAGGGTAGGGGAGGGTAGGGGAGGGGAGGGGAGGGGAGGGAAAGGAGAAAGGAGAAAGGATAAAGGAAGGGAGGGAGGAAGGAAGGAAGGAAGGGAGGGGGGGAGGGAGGGTAACAATTCCTGTCTTGTGTTAAAAATTCCCAATCAGCAATTATGGATACTAAAGAAAAAAAAAAGTGAAACAGCTAAAATCATAAAATAAAATAACCACAGGGTGATAAATATTGAAATAAAAATACAGTTGAAAATTATTTTTAAAAATATTTGTCATAGGGCAAACAAGTTGTTAGTTTTTAAAAAACTTTATAGCAATATAGATTGATGAATTAAGTCAATTTTAAAATTTAATCGATTTTTGCAATGACTTTCAGGTTTAAAAAAAAGGCACTAAACCTACATTTTAAAATGTAAAACTTTGCAGTCATCTCCCCAAATCCTCTCAGTGTGGTCTAGTATTGGAATATATGTTTTCACACATAAAACTTGAATGAAAAAAATAATAATTTCCCCCAAATTCTCAATATCAGCAGTGCCCCAAAGAAAAATTCCTTCTAAGTATAAAGAGAGAAAAGTTAATTCCCAGGAAATAAAGGCACTCTCTGTCCAAAGCTCACATGTACTAAACGCAGAGGCTGAAATAAGACTTGGATGTTCTTTCTGCTTTCTCCAGTCTTCTAGTCATTACTTTAACAGGCAAAGAATAACTAAACAGCGAAACTCTGACGGGAGCACATACTTTCCACATACCCTAAATGTCAAAGGCCTGTTTAGAGAAAGGCCAAACAGTCTACTGCATCTTAGACGTAAGGGCCAGAATTAGGAGATGTTTCTGCCTCAGGAGTTTATTTCTGCCTCTACCACTGCTTCATTTTGTAACGTTAGCGAAGAGATTTATCTGTTCCTCACTTGGCTTTAAAAATAAAGATGGAGACACATAACCTCTACTTTGCTCTCTAGAATATTGTGAGGCTACAATAAATAATGCTCATAAAAGCTTTGATCTTGTAAGGAAAAAGAAATGACATAGGCAGGAGAGATTTTAGCGATTTCTGGAAGACCAGTGGTGGTCAAGATGAAACACAAGGAACAGATAAACCACGGATAACAGGGAAAAGCTTGATAAGCTTTCTTATTTATTTTCCAGGTAAAATTGTCTTTGAAACTAAACCAATAAACTGCCATCTAGATCATATCAAATTTCCACTTCTTTAACATTCACTTATGCCATCATTACACATTATGACTTCCGAACAGATAAGAGACAACTAGAATAACCACAGTAATGATTAGAAAATCAGAGGAAAACTCAGGTGCTTGATTTCTAAGGCCTGGCTTCTGACATTTAAAAAAATGAGGAATTAGAAAATTAGTATTAAAAAATAGTCTTCAGGCCTCTTTATCGTCCCATTTGCCTCTTTCATGAGAAATCATCAATATAACTGCCAAGATTTCTTGCTGGTAAAATAATTTTGTAAGATGAAACAACTACACCTAATTGAACCTTAGCTTCTGGATATATGCCAGTATTTGCATTTAAGTTATTAAGGACTGGTATACAGTGTTTTTTACTGAATCTTCTCTCTGAAAGAGAACTAGCACTGAGAATCAACCTTATGGAGCATAAAAGTTGTAAAACAGTAATGAGGAAAGCCTTTCCTTGCATATTAGCACTCAAAACTGGGGGTATTCATGTTATATGTTTAAATTCTCATATCTCACTCAAGAATGTAACTCAGGATATGTTAATTTGTTAAAAAAAAACAATTCTTCACTTTATAAAGATAGGAATTAATTTTCCTTTTATCAGTTTATGTTTTCACAGAGTATTTGGGCATATACATAAAACACAAACAACTCATTTTTGAACACTGTAAAACGAACATCCTGCCAATCTTCCAAACAAACATCTTAAGTTATTTTTAAAAAGAGAAAGAAAAGAAAAAAGTCAGAATCTGTAAATAAGATAAAACAATAAAATCCATGAGTATAATCCACAGAAATCCATGAGTATAATCCACAGAAACAATCCACAGTCTAATTTCTATACGGGAAAAGAACTGGGTAAATTAAGTTAGCAAGAGTCCAAAAGAACCAGAGGTTATACTGTAACCAGGAAGATCCTTCCACAGTACACATCTGGTATATATTTAAGTTTGGAAGACCAAAGTTAATTCCCTTCAGTCAAATCCTCCTCTTATTTCTGCTTGAAATCCAAGGTGCATGGTGATAAATGTGCACAATTTGCCTAATTTGCAATATTAGACATCCCAATCCCTTCAGATAAGCCCTCCAGAAATTGAGAAACTGAAATGGCTTACTATTTTTCCCTGAAGAACTTTTGCCTTGGGAATGTCATTACCCTAACTTTCTATATAATCTTCGTCTGGGTAACTTAAAACAAGAGATTTACCTTTTTTGCTAAAAGTGGTATTTGTATCTGCCTGAAATGATGAACAAGGGACATCCATTATTTAATTAACTCTATTTGATGTGAATTTTGTATCAAATGGGGTTATATAAATAAACTATCTTTTCAACATTCTTATTGTAGGCTTAAGAAGACAAATAGGCTGGGCACAATGGCTCACATTTGCAATACTTGTACTTTGGGAGGCCAAGGCATGAGGATCACTTGAGCCCAAGAGTTCGAGACCAGCCTTGGAAACACAGTGAGACTCTGACTCCACAAAATACAAAATTAACTGGGCATGGTGGCAAGCACCTGTAGTCCCAGCTACTCAGGAGCCTGAAGTAGGAGGATTGCTTGAGCCCAGGAGGTAGAGGCTGCAGTAAGCTGTGAGTGTACCACTGCACTCCAACCTGGGTAATAGAGCAAGACCATGTTCCCACCCCACCACCAAAAAAAAAAAAAGCAGATGATTCTTACTGATCTTAAAACGTGTCTAATCTATTCTGGGTCAGATAAGAACTCTGACAAATCCTGTATTCCAGTAGTATGAAAAGTCAGTAATTGCAAAATGAGAAATATTTCCAATTATTTTTTATCCAAGGTGCACCAAAAAAATGAACAAAATCCCCCCCAAAGCTACATTAACAACTGGTAAAATATAGTCAGTGGTCACCTAAGAAGGGCAAGGAAAATTAACATATAGTGATTCATTTGTATCTCAGATTTTGTTTTTTTAAAAAGACTACTTTCTTAGGAACAACAATCAAATGACTGTGATTGTTCCTAAGAAACAATCAAACTCAGTCAATATCAACTACCTTCCATCATCTGTCACAAATAAACTTGAAGAAAATGCATCTTAACTGACAGTTTATGTTTCAGCTTTTCAGAACATTCATTCATCCCTGTCTGGGATGATTCAGCCCCATAGCCTACTTTGGCTCAATGGTGACTGGGAAAAAGAGGATCATTAATTTATCAACAGGTTCCACTTGAGCCATCTCCAAGCAGTCTGCGGGAAGGGCTGTGAAGTGGTCAAAACAGTGGAAGCCATAGCCTTCTGCCCTCCTCATGCTTTCTATGTAGCTTGTTGGAAAACCAGGCAGCTCAGTGAGTTTCGTTATCTTTCAGGATACACTGAATTGAAAACTGCATGATTTATCTCAACTCAACTTCTAGTTGAAAATTTCACAAAATTATCTATGTAAATGTTGTCCAAATACAGCTGGAAAAATGAATAAGAGTTGGCAGAAGTGCTGATATTAAGTGACACTTTATACTTAAAAGCATCCAAATAGAAAAAAAAAAGATTTGATGTTTGTAGTCTGGAATAAAAACAAACATAAAGAGATTTTAAAATTAGGGAATGT
This sequence comes from Homo sapiens, assembly GCF_000001405.40. NCBI lineage: Eukaryota > Metazoa > Chordata > Mammalia > Primates > Hominidae > Homo > Homo sapiens. The sequence goes on along the minus strand of NC_000014.9, from coordinate 68,033,356 downwards.
GTGAAGATAGAAAAATAAGAGCATGTGCTGAAAAGCAGCATTATTATTTTCCACATTTACTTATGTTTAAAGAAATATTCAAAGTTAAATACAGGAATACCATATGTAGTTCTAAACCCTAACATGTTATATAGGATGATTTTTCTCTTGCTTTAATTATTTAACAACATTTAACAAAATTTTAATGGGTGTCTACTATAGGCCAGGCATTGTGGTAGAGAATGAAAAAGACATGGCTCCTGCCTTCTGGAATCTTGGGGGGAGATAAGGAACTGTAAAATGTCATGAGCACCATGATGATACGGTAATAAAGAACAGACCACAGAAGTACCTAGCCTAAGCGAAGGTCACTCAAGGAAGTAAAGTTTAGGTTGAAACCAGAGGCCAAGTAGCAATGATCCCCAAGAAGGATCAGGAAGGCAGCAGAGGAACACTATGTGGAAAAGCTGAAATAAGAGATCTGAATGAAACTGAAAGAAACTCATCAGAGCTAGGGCATGCACAGGGTAATAGTGGTATAAGATAGAGCTGAAAGAAGAGATAAATAAGACCTGATCAAGAAGAGCTCTGCCCTAAGAGCAAGAAAACTCATTAGAATGTTTATAAAGGGAAATAACATTTCTTGTTATCACTCTATCTATAGTGTGGAGTATGGAATAGTGTGGCAAAGGGGAGAATAGTAGAAGGCTATTGTCACAATACTGTGTGAGATGATAGTGCCTTGGACTGAAATGGTAGCACCCAAAGAAGAGATGTAGAAAAATTTAGGAACTATTTAGGCAGCAGAATTATCAGAACTCTGTTTGATGATTAAATGTAGAGAGGGCAAAAGAACAAGGGCATCTGCTATTTTTCTGATTTGAGCCATGATAGATGAACTTATTGGAAGCAGAGCAAATTTGGAGAGAAAGGGGTGGAAAAGAAATAAGATTAAAAATAAAATTTGAAATGCTTGGGAAGCCAGGCTGATGTGAGAGCCAAAATAAATAGGAGATAAAAAGTGGAGAATAGCTGTGATGGTGAAGAGAGAGAGAGAGTGCTAAATACTGAAGTAGTAGAACAATTTCTTAAGACAAGAGACTCTTAATAAGGTTAGGAGCCACTAGAAAGGGAGGTAAAAATAATGCAAGGACCTTTATTTTGCATGCTTACTGTGTACCTGCTATGCTTAGCACTTTAAAGATATCACTTTTGATCTTCACGACAACTCCATGACCTAGGTATTATTATCTTCAACACACAAGAAAACTGAGGCTGAGAGATACATAATTTGCCCAAGATTTCATAGTAACAGACACAAATTTGAGTCAAATCAGACACAAAGCCTGATTGTAAAGTCCATGCTCATAATCACTAGGCTACATACAGAATTTGGGAGAAAGATAGAATCAGAGAAAAATCAAAATCCTTCTAAGGTGAATGTGGATGGAACCTAGGGTTTTAGGAAAAGAAAAAAAGTCATATCATTCAGAGCAGAAGCAACAGAGGAAAATAATCATGGGAGAATATTTGTAGTTTTGATGGTAAATGAGGAAGAAATTTTCCATCTCAGATTTCTATTCTTACCATTGACTTGGAAATAGTTATTTGCTGAGGATCAAGATAGAAATGACATGTAAGATGTTTGAGAAGAGTGGAAAATATCTGAAACTGCCGTTCATTCATTGATTCATTGAACAATTTTTTTTTTAAAGACACCAGGGTTTCTTCATGTTGCTCAGGCTGGTCTTAAACTCCTAACCTCAAGCGATCTTCCCACCCCAGCCTCTCTGGTATTTTAACAAATTGAAGGTTTGTGGCAACACTGAACTGAGCAACTCTACTGGCACCATGTTTCCAACTTCATGTGTTTTTGTTACATTCTGGTAATTTTCACAATATTTCAAATTTTTCATTGTTTTATCTGTTATGGTGATTTAAGATCAGTGATCTTTGATGTTGATATGGTTTGGCTCTGTGTCCCCACCCAAATCTCACCTTGAATTGTAATCATCCCCAGGTATCAAGGGCAGGGCCAGGTGGAAATAATTGAATCATGAGGGTGGTTTCTCCTATACTGTTCTCATGGTAGTGAATAAGATCTGATGGTTTGATAAGGGGAAACCCATTTCACTTGATCCCCGTTCTCTTTTTGCCTGCCTGCCATCCATGTAAGACATGACTTGCTCCTCCTTGCCTTCCACCATGATTGTGAGGCTTCCCCAGCCACATGGAACTGTAAGTCCAATAAACCTCTTTCTTTTGTAAACTGCCCAGTCTCAGGTATGTCTTTATCAGCAGTGTGAAAATGGACTAATACAGATGTAATCTTGTAATTGTTCAGGGGCACTATCAAACACACCTTATAAGACAGTAAACTTAATTGATAAATGTTGTGCGAGTTCTGACTGCTTTACAAACTGGCCATTCCCCTTCATCTCTCTCCCTCTCTTCAGGCCTTCCTATTCCTTGAGACACAACAATATTGAAATCAGGCCAATTAATAACCCTACAGTGGCCTCTAGGTGTTCACGTTAAAGGAAGAGTTGCATGTCTCTTACTTTAAATTAAGCTTAGTGAGGAAAGTATGTTGGAAGCCAAGATAGGCTGAAAGCTAGGCTTCCTGCACCAAACAGTTAGCCAAGCTGTGAATGCAAATGAAAAGTTCTTAAGGGAAATTAAATCTGCTACTCCAGTGAACAAATAAATAATACAAAGTGAAACAGCCGTATTGCTGATATGGAGAGTTTTGGTGATCTGACAGAGGATGAAACCAGCCACAACACTACCTTAAACCAAAGCCTAATTCAGAGCAAGTCCATAACTGTCTTCAATTCTATGAAGGCTGAGAGAGGTGAGGAAGCTGCAGAAGAAATGTAGGGAGCTAGCAAAGGTTGCTTCATGAGGTTTAAGGAAAGAAGCCGTTCCATTCCATAACATATTATAGAAGTGCAAGGTGAAGCAGGAAGTACTGATATAAAACCGGCAGAAAGTTATCCAGAAAATCTAGATAAGATCATTAATGAAGGTGGCTACACTAAACAACAGAGTTTTCATGCAAACAAAACAGCCTTCTATTGGAAGAAGATGCCATCTCAGATTTTCATAGCTTGAGAGGAAAAGTCAGTGCCTGGCTACAAAGCTACAAAAGACAGGCTGACTTTTTTTAAAATGGGCTAATGCAGCTGGTGACTTTAAGTTGAAACCAATGCTCATTTGTCATTCCAAAAATCCGAGGCTCCTAAGAATTATGCTAATCTACTCTGCCTGTGCACTGGAAATAGAACAACAAAACCTAGATCACAGCACCTCTGGTTACAGTGTGGTTCACTGAATATTTTAAGTCCAGTGTTGAGACTTACTGCTCAGAAGAAAGATTCATTTCAAAATAGTATTGCTTATTGACAATGTACCCAGTCAACCAAGAGCTCTAATAGAGATGTACCAGGGGATTAATAGCAGTTTCATGACTGCTAACACAAGACCCATTCTGTAGCCCATAGATCGAGGATTAATTTCAACTTTCAAGTCTTATTACTTAAGAAACACAATTCAAGAGGCTGTAAGTGCCACAGATACGGATTCGTCTGATGGATCTGGGTACAGCAAATTGAAAACTTTCTGGGAAGGATTCACCATTCTAGATGCTATTCAGAACATTCCTGATTCGCTGGAAAAGGTCAAAATAGCAACATGCACAGGAGTGAAGAAGATTCCAGCTGTCATGCATTACTTTGAGGAGTTTAAGACTCCAGTGAAGGAAGTAACTGCAGATGCGGGAAAAACAGCAAAAGAACTAGAATGAGAAGTAGAGCCTGAAGATACGATTGAATTGTTGCAATCTCACCATAAAACTTGAACAAAAGAGAGAAAAGCATTTATTTCTTATGGATTACCAAAAAGAGTTATGGATCTATCTTATGGATAACACTTTTTTTCTTGAGATGGAAACTACTCCTGGCGAAGAAGCTGTGAACACTGTTGAAATGACAACAAAAGATTTAGAATATTCCATAAACTTAGCTGATAAAGCAGTGGCAGGGTTTCAGAGGACTGACCCAAATTTTAAAAAAAGTTTGAAAAAGGACAAGATGGCTGACTAGATGAAGCCAAGAAGCACTGCTCCCCACAAGAGAGACCAAAATTTCAAGTAAACCAACACAATTTGAACGGATCTTCAGAGAAGAAACACTGAAAGTAGATGGAGATGTGACAGAGATACTGAGACTGATGAGACAGGAAGCTGGGAACCCTGTGTGAGCTACCCAAAGCCTAGGGCTACTTCCCAGCCCTGAACAGCTCCACGGGAGAGGGTTAATGAAGAGACTGTGGGACTGCACACTATCACTGTGGACCTCTGGAATCCTAGCTACAGGGGAACCCACATCCACCATGGATATTTGAGCTGGCAAAGGGATATGCCCAGGGAGTAGACAGAATCAGGGCTTCAGCCAGCATGGAGCCAAGGACCTCTGTGCGTGGGAGAGGCCAGCAGAGCACAGCCATAGACACCCATCTCCCAGGGCTCCCCATCTCCCTCCAAGAAGCTCTAACCCAGCTGACCGCTGAGGCAGGAGAAAGTAGGGCCAGCATGGGGGCACATCTGTGCTACAGGACCACTTGCCTGCCATCTCCTTCCAGGGCCCCTCCCTGACCCCCCACTGCAAGAGCATGTGTGCAGTGCAGCCTCTCCTGTCCAGCCTGGATGCTCTGCTCCTCTTGAGTACATTTCCAGCAGCCTGGGAGCACTTCAGATCCCCCAAAATATCCAAAACCCAACTCTGAGGGTCCAGCAGATGAGCCCCAAGTTAGTCCCGGCACCCCAGGGCTGTGGTGGACAGCTCGGGAGTGCCAAGTCGAGTTATGTGGCTGGCACTGGAGCAGAGGAGGAGCCCATACTCACAGAGCACTGAGGGGGTGAGATGTGTGGGTTTCTGGGTTGGCATAAAAGCAGGGCATGCATCCCTCTGCAAGGTCAATATAGAAAGGGTGTGGCCTATCTCCCTGCCATGGTTTCTGCCCAAGAGAGCCTCATGGCCCAGAACACCTAGCAAAAGAAAGGCAGGCATGGTAACAGTGATCAGAGGGGGCTCCCCCAAGGCCCAGAAGCAAACCTGGTGGAAAGGTCATCTCTCTCCCCAACGTACTGGTGACAGAGGGCATGACTGCAACATGAGGAAATACAAAGAAGACACACAGATGAATAAAAGCCTAGCTACTGATCATTACTCTTAAGTGCCATCTACCAGATCACAGCCTGAAGTACACCACCAAAAATATTTTGGTAATATGCCCCCCTAACTCCATGAAACCAGGGGCAAGAATTCAGCCACAAAGACCCTGTACAGAGTCCTGACCCTCTGAAAATACCCAGAAATGACGCCAACTGACTATACTCAACCTGCATCACAGATAAAGAAACACCAAACTTCCCAGATGAGAAAAAAAATCAGTGCAAGAATTCTGGCAGTTCAAAAAGCCAGAGTGTCCACTTAACTACAAATGAGTCCTCTAGCTCCCCAACAATGGTTCTTAACCAGTCTGAAATGACAGATATAAAATTCAGAATCTAGATGGCAAGGAAGCTCATCTAGATTCAGCAGAAAGTTGAAACCTCAACCAAGGAATCCAGTAAAATGATCCAAGAGCTGAAAGACAAAATAGCCATTTTCAGAAAGAACCAAACTGAAATTCTAGAGCTGAAAAATTCACTACAAGAATTTCATAATTGGAATAATTGGAAGTATTAACAGTGGAACAGACCACACTGAGGAAAGAATCCCAGAACTCGAAGACCAGTTCTTTGAATCAACTCAGTCAGACACCAAGAAAAAAGAATTTTAAAAAATGAACAAAATATTCAAGAAATATGAGCGCATGTAAAGAGATCAAATCTATGACTCACTGGCATTCCTGAGTGAGAAAAAAAGAGAGTAAGCAACTTGGAAAATATTTTTGAGGATACAGTCCACGAAAATTTCCCTAATCTCACGTTGACATGTAAATTCAAGAAATACAGAGAAGCTCAGCTAGATACCATACAAGATTACCATCCCCGAGGCACACAGACATCAGATTCACCAAAGTCAATGTAAAAGACAAAAATTGTAAAGGCAGCTAGAGAGAAGGGTCAGGTCATGTACAGACAGAACCCTATCAGGCTAGCAGGGAACCTCCAAGCAGAAACCTTACAAGCCAGAAGAGAGTGAAGACCTACTATCAGCATCCTTAAAGAAAAGAAATTCCAACCAAGAATTTCATATCCCACCAAACTAAGCTTCATAAACTAAGGAAAAATAAAATCCTTCTCAGATAAGCAAAGGCTGAGGGAATCCATTTCAACTAGAGAAGCCTTATAAGAGGCCTATAAGGGAGTGCTAAACATGGAATCAAGAGAATGACACCTGTTACCACAAAACACCCTTAAGCATGGCGCCTACATACACTATAAAGCAACTATACAATGAAGTCTTACATGAAAACCAGGCAACAATATGATGACAGGATCAAAATCTCACATATCAATACTAACCGTGAATGTAAATGAGCTGAACATCCCATGTAAAAGACACAGAGTGGGAAGCTGAATATAAAAACAGGACTCAACCGTCTGCTGTTAAGAGATTCATTTCACATGTAATGAAATCCACAGGCTCCAAGTAAAGAGATAAAGAAAGATCTAGCATGCAAATGGAAAATAAAAACAAGCAGGAGTTACTATTCTTATATCAGACAGAACAGACTTCAAAACAATAACAAAGAAGAACAAAGAAGGGCATTACATAATGATAAAGGGTACACATCAACAAGAAGACTTAACTATCCTAAATATATACCCACCCAACACTGGAGCACCGAGATTCATAAAACAAGTTCTTCTTGACCTATGAAAAGACTCAGACAGCTAAACAAAAATAGAGGGGGACTTCAATGCCCCACTGACAGCATTAGAAAGATCATTGAGGCAGAAAACTAATAAAGAAATTCTAGACTTAGATTCGACACTAGACCAATTAGACCTAATAGACATCTATAGAACACTCTACCCAATAACCACAGAATATATATTCTTCTCATCTCCACATGGAATACATTCTAAGATCAACCATATGTTTGATCATAAAGCAAGTATCAATAAATTCAAAAAATTCAAAATCATATCAAGCACACTCTTGGACCACAGTGCAATAAAAACAGAAATCAACACCAACAAGATCTCTCAAAATTACACAAATACATGGAAATTACACAACTTGCTCCTGAATAAGTCCTGGGTGAACATCAAAATTAAGGCAGAAATAAAAAAATGATAATAATGAAAATAGAAACATAACTTCCAAAAACCTCTAGGATGCAGCTAAAACAGCATTGAGAGGAAAGCTTATAACACGAAATTCCCTCATCAAGAAGTTAGAAATATCTCAAATTAACAATCTAACTTTACAACTAACAGAAAAAACACACCCTCAAAGCTAGCAGAAAAAAAGAAATAACTAAAATTAGAGAAAAACTGAATGAAATTGAGACATAAAAATCCATACGAAAGATCAATAAAACCAACAGCTGGTTCTTTGAAAGAATCAACAAGACTGATAGACTGCTAGCTAAATTAACAAAAAAGAGAGAGATCAAATTAGTAAACAAATAACAAAGATGGCATTACAACTGATCCCACAGAAAAACGAAAGATCCTCAGAGACTACTTTGAACAACTCTATGCATACTAATTAGAAGATCTAGAGAAAGTGGATAAATTCCTGGAAACACACAGTCTCCCAAGATTGAATCAGGAAGAGACTGAAACCCTGAGTAGACCAATACTGAGTTCTGAAATTAAATCAGTAATAATAATAATTTTAAAAACCCTACCAACCAACCAAAAAAAAAAAAAAAAAAAAAAAGCCTAGACCAGATGGATTCACAGCCAAATTCTACCAGACATACAAAGAAGAACTGGTACCAATCCTACTAAAACTATTTCAGAAAATTGAGGAAGAGGGACTCCTCCATAACTCATTCTATGAAGCCAGCATTACCTGATACCAGAATCTAGCAGAGACATAATAAACGTAGCAAACTTCAGGCCAATATCCCTGATAAACATAGGTGTAAAAATCCTCAACAAAATACTAGCAAACTGAATCCAGCAGCATATCAAAAATTTAATACACCATGATCAAGTAGGCTTCATTCCTGAGATGCAAGGCTAGCTCAACATATGCAAATCAATCAATGTGATTCACAACATAAACAGAATTAAAAGCAAAAAATATGATCATAATAGATGCAGAAAAAGCTTTCAATAAAATCCAACTTCCCTTTGTGATTAAAAAAACCCTCAACAGAGTAGGCACCAAAGGAATATACTTCAAAATAATAAAAGCTATGACAAACCCACAGCCAATGTCATACTGAATGAGTATGAGCTGAAACAATTCCCCTTGAGAACTGGAACAAGAAAAAGGTGCCTAATCTCGCCACTACTATTCAACATACTACTGGAAATCCTAGCCACAGCAATCAGGCAAAAAAATAAAAAATAAATAAAAAGGCATCCAAATAGGAAAAGAAGAAGTCAAACTATCTCTCTTCACTGACAATATGATTTCATACCTACAAAACCCTGAAGACTCTGCCAAAAGCCTCCTAGGGCTAATAAACAGTTTTAGAAAAGTTTCAGGATTTTAAAAAAAATCAATGTATAAAAATCAGTAGCATTTCTATACAACCATAACATCCAGGCTGAGAATCAAATCAAGAACACAATCCCATTTACAATAGCCACAAAGTAAATAAAATACCTAAGAATACATCAAACCAAGGAGGGGAAAGATCTCTATAAGGACAACTACAAAACACTGCTGAAAAAATCAGAGATGACACAAATAAATGAAGAAACATTATTCCATGATCATGAATTGGAAGAATCAATATAATTAAAATGGTCACACTGCCCAAAGCAATCTGCAGATTCAATGCTATTCCTATCAAACTACCAATGTCATTTTCAAAGAATTAGGAAAAAACTATTCTAAAATTCATATAGAATTTTAGAGCCCAAATAGCCAAAGCAATACCAAGCAAAAAGAACAAAGCTGGAAGCATTACACTAATTGACTTCAAACTGTACTATATGGCTACAGTAACCAAAACAGCATGGTACTGGTATAAAAACACATAGATCAATACAGCAGAATAGAAAACTCAGAAATAAAGCCACACATTCAATCATCTGATCTTTGACAAGACTGACAACAAGCAATAGGAAAAGAACTCCCTATTCAATAAATGGTGCTGGGATAGCTGGCTAGCCATATAAAGAAAAATGAAATTGAACTCCTAATTTTCCCCATATACAAAAATTAACTCAGGGTAGATTAAATATTTAAGTGTAAGACCTCAAACTATAAACGTCTTAGAAGAAAACCCAGAAAATAACTTTCTTGATATCAACCTGGGCAAAGAAGTTTTAGCTAAGCCCCCAAAAGCAAATGCAACAACAACAACAAAAATTGACAAGTGGGACCTAATTAAAGTAAAGAACTTCCACACAGCAAAAGAAACTATCAACAGAGTAAACAGAAAACCCACGGAATGGGAGAGAGTATTCACAAACTCTGCATCCAGCAGAGGTCTAATATCCAGAATCTATAAGGAATTTAAACAATTCAACAAGCAAAAAACAGCCCCATTAAAAAATGGGCAAAGGACATGAACAAACACTTCTCAAAAGAAGACATACCAAAAAGCAGGTCAGGTGCGGTGCCTCACACCAGTAATCCTGGCACTTTGAGAGACAGAGGCAGGCAGATCACTTGAGGTCAGGAGTTCAGGACCAGCCTGGACAACATGGTGAAACCCCATCTCTACTAAAAATACAAAAATTAGCCAGGCCTCATGGCGCACGCCTGTAATCACAGCTACTCAGGAGGCGAGGCAGGAGAACCGCTTGAACCTGGGAGGCGGAGGTTGCAGTCAGCCAGGACTTCACTCCAGCCTGGATGACAGAGGGAGACTGTCTCAAAAAAAAAGAAGACATACCAAAAAATAATAGATGTTCATGAGATTGTGGATTGTGGAGAAAAGGGAATGTTTATACGCCACTGGTGGGACTGCAAATTAGTTCAGCCATTGTAGAAAGTAGTTTGAAGGTTTCTCAAAGAACCTGCAACAGAGCTGTCAATTGGCCCAGTAATCCCATTACTGGGTATATACCCAAAAGAATATAAATCATTCTACCATAAAGACAAATGCACATGTATGTTCACTGCAGCACTATGCACAATAGCAAAGACATGGAATCAACCTATTATAGCTGCCCATCAACAATGCACTGGATAAAGAAAATGGGGTGCATATATACCACAGAATACTAAACAGCCATAAAAAAGAATGAGATCATGTCCTTTGTAGCAACATGGATGGAGCTAGAGACCATTATCCTAAGCAAATTAATGCAGAAACAAAAACCCAAATACCACAAGTTCTCACATATAAGTACAAGTGAAATATTGAGTACACCAGGACATAACGAAGAAAATAGACAATAGAGCCCACTTGAGGGTGGAGGGTGGGAGAAGGGTGAGGACTGAAAATGTGCCTATTAGGTATTATGCTGATTACCTAGGTGACAAAATTATCTAGACACCAAACCCCACAACATGCAATTTACCCATGTAATGAACGTGCACATGTACCCCTTGAACCTGAAATAAGAGTTGGAAGAAAAAAAAAAGAGAGACAAGCAGCCAACAAACATGAAAAAATGCCCATCAACACTAAAAGTCAGAAAAATGTAAATCAAAACCGCAATGAGATACCATCTCACACCAGTCAGAATGGCTATTACTAAAAGTCAAAAAACAACAGATGGCTATTTCTCAAAGAACTTAAAACAGAGCTACCATTTGACCCATCCATCCCAATACTGGGGATATACCTGAAAGAAAATAAATCATTCTACCAAAAAGACACAGGCACTCATATGTTCATCACCAGGATATTCACAATAGCAAAGACATAGTATCAATCTGGGTGCCCATCAATAATGGATCGGATAAAGAAAATGTGGTACATATATACCATGAAATACTACACAGCCATGTAAAAGAATAAAATCATGTCCTTTGCAGCAACATGGAGAAAGCTGGAGGCCATAATCCCAAGCAAATTAATGCAGGAACAGAAAACCAAACAATACATGTTCTCACTTATAAATGGGAGCTAAACATTGACTACACATGAACATAAACATGGGAACAATAGACACTGTGGACTACTAGGGGTGGGAGGAATGGAGAGGAGTATAGGTTGAAAAACTACCTATTGGGTACTACTCTTATTACCAAGCAAATAAACTGATTCAAGAGTCAATCAACAAACTTCATTGTTGTCTTATTTTAAGAAATTGCCATAGCTACCCAACTTTCACCAACCACCAGCCTGTTTAGTCAGAAGCCATCAACATCAAGGCAAGACCCTCCACCAGCAAAAAGATTACAACTCATTGAAGGCACAGATGATTGTTAACATTTTTTAACCATATTTTTAAAATAAGGCTTGTACATTTTTTAGACATAATGCTATGATACACTTAGTAGACTACCGTACAGTGCAAACATAAGTTTTATATGCATTAGGAAACAAAAAATTTTGTGTTGCCCACTTTATTGCTATAACTGCTTTATTGCAGCAGTCTGGAACTGAACCCACAATATCTCCAAGGTATGCCTGTAAATAAGATGAAGAGTAAAGTGGAAGGGAGTTGGGGGACAAATGTCAATAACAGCACAGAAAAGAAATAACACTTAGTTTAGCTAGGTAGCAATTTGTTTACCCATATAACAAAGAGGCAGAGTATTTTATAGTAGGTGAAAAAATGACGTTCTAAAAGTGGCAGGGAAGACTTAGAAGGACAATGACCCTGTGACAGTGAAGATATGGGAAAATGACAAACATTCTGGCTGTAAGAGAAACACCATCTCACGGGAGAGCCAGACCTCCAATCAGGAAAAACCTTCCTGAGAGTGGCTTAGCAATATCGAAATTGCAGACATTGCTGCCATCACTGGCATCTGATCCTCGTGTGAAGGCATCATTTCTCAGGAGGCAATGTTCTCCCTTTATCCCTCTCTTTTGCCCTGAGTCCTCTAATAGAACATTAACTTAGTTGGGACATTCTTTTAGATGAACTAAAAATAATAATTATATGTGAAAAAAACAAAAGGGTACTATATTGTCCTCAGAGCAGTAAAACTGTTTATTTAGAGAGTCACTTGAACAAGGCAGACACAGTGTAAGGTCCCAGGGGGGTATTCAGTTTCCATCATCTGGTTATTTCCCCAGGTCCTCTCTCATGCATCACAAAGCTCTCTGTGAATCCACTTAACAAGGAAAGAACTAACACTCCTGTTTATTTGCTTCAACACTCTTGTCAATAAAAGGTGGTACACCTAAAGGATAAAATAAATATTCAGCCACAAAAATCATGCTGCAAACATATATATTTTTACATGGAAAGGTATTCTCTTACCTCTAAAAAGCAGATTAGAAAATAATATGTTGAGTTTGATCTCCTTTTTGTAAACAATCAATGTTTTTTAAATTGCAGTAAAGTATACATAAAATTTACCATTTAAACCATTTTCAAGTGTACAGTTGAGTAGCATTACCTATATTCACAGTCTTGCGCAACCAACAACATCCATCTCAGAACCTTTTCATCATCCCAAACTGAAACTCTATATATATAAGTAATATGAATATTTACATATTAACAGAAAAAGTCTGAACAGATATACACCAAAAATGTTAATAGTGGACAATTTTAGGTAGTTTTTTCCTATTTTTTAGTCTTCTATATTTCCTAATTTTTTCTAAAAGGAAGTGTATTTCTAGTGTAATTTTAAAGTAACTTTAAGTGATGTTTTTAAAAGACGCTGAGAGTTAAAACATTAAAAAAGCAAAGAGGCTGGTGCAATGGCTCACACCTGTAATCCTAGCATTCTGGGAGGCTGAGATGGGCAGATTGCTTGAGCTCAGGAGTTCAAGACCAGCCTGGGCAAATAGCGAAACCCTGGGCTCTACGAAAAATATAAAAAATTAGCCAGGCATGGTGGCACGTGCCTGTGGTCCCAGCTACTCGAGAGGCTGAGCTGGGAGGATTGCTTGAGCCCAGGAGACAGAGGTTGCAGTGAGCTGAGATTGCACCATTGTACTCCAGTCTAGGTGAGATAGTGAGACCCCGTTAAAGAAAAAGAAAGAAAAGAAAAGCAGGATTAGAGGCCATGCTCATCACCTTGTTATGATCTGGTAATTTTCCTCTGCTTCCTAAAAATAAGAACCCCAAAGCTTAGCTGGGTACACTATGCTCAGCCAAAAGACAATATTTCTGGTTGTCATTCTTGCAGTTAGCTGTGGCCATAGAACTAAATTTTAGCCAAAGAGAAAGTGCAATGTGTAACTTCCCAGAAATGTCCTTACAGGGAAGGGGCACATTCTTTTTGGTCTTTTCTCCTCCTGCCAGCTGTAATACTGATGCAATGGCTGAATCTCTAGCAGCCATATTGGACAATGTGGCAATACGGTAAGAACGAACAAGAAATAAGATAGATGTCTCTTTTTTTGTTATACGCAGTCATCCTAATCTTAACTGATAAAATCACAGTCATCCCTTGGCATATACTGGGAATTGGATCCAGGGCCACTCCTGCACCACATATACCAAAATCCACACACACTCAAGTTCCAAAGTCCACCCTCTGGAACTCACATATATGAAATGTCAGCCCTCCATACATGCAGGTTTTGCATCTCATAAATACTGTATTTGCAATGGAAATTTGCTTGAAAAAAATCTACATATAATTGGACCCATGCAGTTAAACCCATGATTTTCAAGAATCAACTGTACCTCCTAAATCATTTTCCTTCCTAGCATGTCTTATGTTCAGCGCTATACTTTTGTCAACCATGATCATAAAAAGAATATACAGAAATTGGGAAATAACAAAGGTGACCAAATCCAGAGATGACCAATTATTGACCTTCTTGTTTGAATTCACTATAGAATTTGCCACTGCCACCATTCTAGCATTCTGAAACTTCTTTTCTCCACTGCAGCGGTACTCTGTAGGTTTTGTTCCCGTCTATTTCACCTTTTCAGTTTCCTTGCAAGGCTCCTTTATAAACTGACTCTCAGTTTCTCTAAACTGTTCTAACTAAAAGTCAGTTTTGGTGTGTTTTTTTTTTTCATATATGTTTACTGGGTGTTTCAGTAAATCAGCCACCAAATTTTCCCTGAAGCAGTCATCCACTCAATTATTACTGAATGCCTAATAACTAACCATGTATTGAATGCTTACTATATGCAAGGAACATTACATATTTTATCTCTAATCCTCTCAGCAACTCCACAAGCTAGGGATTATTATATTCATTTCAGAGATGCGTCTGAGGCCCAAAGAATAATTACCCAAGTTTTCACAGCTGGTAAATGGAAGAATCAGACTTTGAACTTAGGCTTATTTACTCCAAAGTCCATTACCCATTCATTATACCCCATGGCACACACAAGTCTATGACTCAAAATCCAGACACATAAAAAGCTGAATAATTTAAAAGGTTTTGCTACTTGACTCAGTACATGTTTATGACACATTTTTTATGAGTACTGTTTGAGTGGCTGTCAGTGATACAGAAATGTTTAAGTCTTCAAGTAAAATGAATAAGATAGAAACAAATTAATGGTTTAACAAGGTAGAAAAGGAATACTAAGAAGTTCCGGGAATTCCTACAATATAATGGAATGCTTCAATTTCTCCCCCATAAAAATATAGAGAATTAATTTAAAAAATCTAATCCTTGTTGAAACTCGCCCACACCAAGTAAATAGAGTGGTAACAGATATTACAACCTTAAAATAGAAGTAAAACCTTAACAGAACTTGCTGTGACATTTAAATTAGTACCTTTAAAAAGTAATTAGGAAAGCATTTTCCTTCTACAAGGTACGCTACAGATTATTTATTTCATCAAATCTTAATCTTTAGGGAGAAAAATTACACAGAAGCTTAGCTTGTCTAAATTGTCTATTGAAGTTAACCAATTACTGATTAAAAAGGGGACAGGAAGTGTGTAAAATTAGATTATCTGCTTATATTTAAATGTATTTTGAAAAGGTCTGAAAAATTCCTTCACAAAGTGAGACAAGCTATAAATGGTCAAATAAAATTTTAACAATGCATAGCTTAGACACGAATGTGGGACACACAGACCCAGACTCAATTTTAGAACAATATAACTATCAATTGTTTTAAAGGGACAATCAGCTACTTAACTACTAAGCAGCTTTTTAAATAGGTAATTCTGCAGTTAAAATTTATTTATTTATTTATTTATTTATTTATTCGAGACGGAGTCTTGCTCTGTCACTAGGCTGGAGTACAGTGACACGATCTCAGCTCACTGCAATCTCCGCCTCCCGGGTTCAAGTCATTCTCCTGCCTCAGCGTCCCGAGTAGCTGGGACTACAGGTGCGTGCCACCACACTCAGCTAATTTTTATATTTTTAGTAGAGATGGGGTTTCACCAAGTTGGCCAGGATGGTCTCAATCTCTTGACCTCGTGATCTGCCTGCCTTGGCCTCCCAAAGTGCTGAGATTACAGGCATGAGCCACCATGCCTGGCCTAAAATTTATTTTGTAATGTAGGATACTTTTGAAAAATTCAAACTTTAAAATCCTCCATGAAAATCTATGATAGACTGTAAATAAAATCTAGGGGCAAAATGAACTCAGCATTGATCTCTAAAAAACAAATTCAATTGGTATATGCTCTATTGGTTGTTAGAGGAAAATATTAAATTTCTAAGATAAAAAAGATAGGCTGGGTGTGGTGGCTCACGCCTGTAATCCTAGCACTTTGGGAGGCCAAGGTGGGCAGGCTGCCTGAGCTCCGGAGTTCAAGACCACCCTAGGCAACACGGTGAAACCTTGTCTCTACTAAAATACAAAAATTTAGCCGGGTATGGTGGCACGTGCCTGTAGTTCCAGCTAGTCAGGAGGCTGAGGCAGAAGAATAACTTGAACCTAGGAGGTGGAGGATGCAGTGAGCTGAGATCACTCCACTGCATTCCAGCCTGGGTAACAGAATGAGATTCCATCTCAAAAAAAATAAAATAAAAAAGATTTATTTTGATAATGCCTTGTAATTCAACAAAAAACTAGAGCTATAAATTAGAATTTGGTTTTGTGACAAAAATGATATATCTTTTCATTATAATTATAAAATATACTCATTATTAGAAATTTGGAAAATGAAGAAAGGGTTAAAGAAAAAAAGCCATGTCCTTATTAGCTCCAAACACTGACATTTCCTTCTTCCATTAGCATATGTCTATATTTTTAAATTTTGATCATTCTATATAAATTAGATATTTAGCATTCTTTCTTTTTTCTTTTTCATTTAACTTTATGGCATTTTCCCTTGTTGTTATAAAGTCTTCAAAGAAGTCACTTAATTCCAGAAAACATTCCAGTGAATTTACTTAACCACAGCTCACTTTAAACAATTAGGTTGCTTCCAACTTTTTGCTGTTACTACTAATGCTATGATAAACATCTTTGTGCTTTTTCCAATTCACAGATAATTTCCTTAGCACAGATTCTAGGAGTGAAATTACTAGCAAAAGTTACACAGTCAGCAGAGCCTGGGTAAAAGTGTATGTGAGTTGGCTTGTACTCTTTCACAAGAGCTGACTACTAAATTTTCAGGAATTTTCTAAGCCAGTTGTTAAACACAGCCATCATTTAAAGCTAAATGTTATAAATGTACCAATAAATAAAAATTATATTAAAACAAAGATAATAAATACTCAAAACACCTCATTTGTTAAATATGTTGGACATTTTACTATTATCTGTGCTCTTGGGGTTGCTTACACTATTGTATCCAGTTGGCAGGATTACTATATGATGGTGTTCCAGTGCACACCCTTCCAAACTCCACATCTAGTTGTATCATGTTGGTGGCCTGACTGAGGCCATGGTGGGAGTTGTAAAATGGAACAAACTGGGGGCTTTTTACCCCCAGAGACTCCCAGATAATTATCCTGATCAGTCAGTTGGTGAGTTATATATGTTTATTTTACTCTCAAACTGCCAATGTTTTTCTACCCGTATTTGCTTATAAAAAGCCCTTAAAAAATAGAGGCATACGCTGATGGCTAAGCATTTTAATCGTTTTGTTACCTGACTCACTCAGTAAATATTTTTGAAGCATTTTTGATAAGTACTGTGTTGAGTGACTGTGAACTGTCTTCAAGTAAAATGGACAAGATAGGAACAAATAATGATTTAACAAGATACAAAATGATTACTATCAACAGCTGCCAAAAGAAAGATAGAAAATAATAATTGCCATAAGGCAAAATGATATAGGGATGCCAATAAAGGAGAGATTATTTCCTGCTGAAGAACTGTAAAAGTTCCATAAAAGGTAAGGCATTTATAAATGAATAAATGGTGTCAGAGAAAAGTGAAACGATTGTTTAAGGCTATCAAAAATTTTGTCCTCTTCTTTTCATGGCACTTTGACATATTTGTTTTATAACCTATATCACTCTCCACCTGATATGGTTTGGCTGTGTCCCCACCCAAATCTCATCTTGAATTGCAGCTCCCATAATCCCCACGTGTCATGGGAGGGACCCAGTGGGAGGTAATTGAATCACGGGGACAGGTTTTTTCCCATGCTGTTCTCATGATAGTGAATAAGTCTCCCGAAATCTGATGGTTTTATAAAGGGCAGTTCTTCTGTACGCGCCCTCTTCTCTGCGGCCATGTAAGACATGACTTTGCTCCTCCTTCGCCTTCCACCATGATTATGAAGCCTCCCAGCCATGTGGAACTGTGAATCCATTAAACCTCTTTCCTTTATAAATTACCCAGTCTTAGGTATGTCTTTATTAGCAACATGAGAACAGACTAATACACCATCGTATGTTGTAATGACTATAATATACCTCTGCCTCCCCCTATTATAATATTCATATCTCCTGAGTAGTCACCTTTGTATCCCCATCATAGTAGGTGTTAAATAAATGTCATGCTTTTAATAAGTGAATGAAAGAATGATTTAATGAATAGGAGCGCACATTTATGAGCTTATAATGTGCTAAGCACTATCCTAAGCACTTTACATATATTTAATCATTTAATGTTTACAACACCATGAAGTAGATGCCATTTCTACCAATGAGAAAACTCAGCCATTTTACAGAAAAGCAGACTGAATCACAGAGTGTTTTAAGTAACTGGACCAAGATTGCACAGATGGCAGGAGGGCTGGGTTTAAAACCCAGTCAGCCTAACTCTGGAGCTCCTGCCCTTCACCATGCCTCCACACCCCCTCTCAAATAAACAAAGCATCCCGGGTGGCCCTAGTGGGTAGGGTTTGGCACTCTCAAATAAGTGACTGAGCAGTAAACAAGATAGCAATGAATCCACATGCTCCTTTTTTTTTTTTTTTTGCATTCATTCTTATATTGTTTCCAAGTCAAAAAGTAATAATGAATGCTCCTAAATTACGTATTCCAATCAATGTAATCAGTTCATTCACATTCAGAATAGTACAGGTCTCTATCTTAGATTCCTACATTTATTTATTTATTTATTTATTTATTTTTACTGATCCTTAAATTTAAACAAATAAGTGAGTCTCAAATTTGGCAAGTTTTGACCATACAAATTTCTCCATGATCTCCTAATCAAATATTGTTTTTAAAGAATACCCAAAATTTGCCAATTAGAAAGAAAAACACTATTTAAATATTCAAAAAAGATGTTAAACACTCCACCTGAGTTTTGATAATCCAACAAGAATATGCTTCTATCTGGTAACTTGTACTTGCTATACAGTGATGAGTAGAGAGTAGGAGATATGGTGTAACTGTGTCACAAATGTACCAGGGTAAAAGTCACTCTGGCACATCCTGAAGATAGCACTAATGGGTTCTGAGAGACAAAGAAGACTGAAATGCTTCAAAGCAACTTGCTCAGAGACTGATAAATCTCCAAAGCAGAATCAACAAATGTAAAAAAACAGGGCTTGCATGTCCAACAATAACTCATACAAAGTTACCTTCCTCCATCAACTGTTAATGGGAAAAAAAAAAAAAAAGAAAGAAAAGAAAAGGAGAGGGAGAGAGAAAAGGCAATCTTTGTCCCTGATAAAATATCTTCATAATAATGGAGATTTAAAAATAACGCAAATTACTAACCTTACCAAAAATCAGTTCTGATTTCAATGCCAATGAAGGAAAACATAGCCATTAGGTAATATTATCACAACAAGACCAAGATATTGTATTTATTCTCATAAAAGGACATGGAACTAATTTATAAATCAAGTTTGGTCAGTCAGTCCTGCATTATTATCAAATAAAATATTTGATAACATGTACTCATCTGGGCACTGCTTCATGAAAAAATTCTGACTTATTTATCACATCCCAATTCTAAGAATATGGAAGGATGAGCTCCTGGATGCCTGACCTTTGTACTTATTTAAGACATTACTTAATAGAAACTGCACCTCTCAAGTCTATTCTAATATGATGCATGCAGGAAATGCAAATTTGCATCCAAAATATTTAATGTTTAAATAATACTAGACAAGTTTTTAAAATCATAGTAAATTATTTGTTGTCCATCAAGAGCAGAGAAAGTTATATTCTACGTAATACAATATTCTGATTTAGTTTCCTCATCTGTAAAATAAGACTGTTATGGATTAAATGAATTAATATTTGTTTAGTATTTACAGTAGTCCCTAGCATATAGATTAAATGCTACATAAGCAATTATTAAATAAAGTAATATCATTGTGGCAGATCATATTTCCAAAAATGGCTTCAGCCGTATTTCTGGTCCAGCATGCTCTTCCAGAATCTTGCCAACCCCACCCATCACATGGTAGAGTCTATTTCTCTCCTCTTGAACCTAGGGGGATTTCTAATTATTCTGGCCAACAGAGCAAAATAGAAATAATGTTCTGTGACTTCCAAGGCTCTGTCATAAGAAGGATATAGCTTCTGCCTATCTTTCTCTTTTTGAAATGTTTGCTCTGAGGAACCCAGACACTCTACTTAAGGAAGCCCAAACTAGTTCATTTGGAGACATCACATGGAAAGACCCATGTGGAGAGGAACTGGGGCCAACAGCCAGTGACATCTGCCAGACATATAAATGAATGAATGATTATAGTGCCTAGCCTTTGAGGTTCCAGCCTCAAACACTGTGGAACTAAGAGAAGCCATTCCTGCTGTGCCCTGTCCGAATTCCTGACCCACAGAATCTGTGAGCATAATAACTGATTGCTTTGTGCCACTAAGTTGTGGGGTAATCTGTTACACAGCCACAGGAATGGGAACAATAAAACTGCTATACTTTTAAAATTTGCATTGCAACTAAAATCAAAAAGATTTTTAAAAGACTTACAAAATTAAACATAATGCAAATAGAGCAGAGAATAAACAGAAGATACACACATAAAACAAAGTTGAAACAACTGTCAGGCATCTGACATATAACAACAGCAACAGCTAACAAAACAGTTATTGTCCTCCATGTGTAAGAAGCACCACAAAAAGTTATGATTTAATGCTCCCAATAACCCTATAAGGATACTGTTATATTTTTATTTTATATACCACATGCAAATAAGAAATAAAATATCCTAACACTAAATAAGAAATAAAATACCCTAACACTAAGACTATAATTTCATCCTGCTTTGTTGCTGGCACGTTTTGAATGCTGGTAGTAAACTATTACTACTAATATAGACCAGGGTTTGGCAAACTTTATCTTAAAGGGCCAGATAATAAATATTTTAGACTTTGAGGGCTCTCTCTCCTCTCTCGCTCTCTCTAGATATATATATATAAAATTCTTTGTTTTATGTTTGTTACAATCACTTAAAACTATAAACCCATTCTTAACTTGTGAGTGCTACAATAACACGCTGTGCACCAGTCGTGAGCCACAGTTTGCCTGACAGACCATGGTAGAGAAATGTTAATACTATAAGTTTAAATTAATAAACCCATCTTTATTATAATACTCATAATAGCATCTACAGTTATATGAAATTAAGAAAACACACTTTCTTGCTCTAGCTTATTATTATCCACTAAAAGTACAAGCTTCCCTGAACTAGGTCAGTAAATGAAAATCTAGACCGAAGAATCCATTATTTCCATTACAATAAATGTCTCTTCATAATTGACATTTATCTACTTTGAAAAGGTCTAGGATACTGTCTGAAAGAAATTATTTTTCTAGGGTCTAACGGCTTCTCCAGGCATCCACATAGATATCTCTGTGTTTGTTTATTGAGATTCATGACAGCCCAGTGTGATTGATAAAACACTGAACACTTCTAACCTTTAGTGTCGATGCTTTGCAAGAAAATGTTTATTATTCTTGGCAGGAAATGATGGAAACTGGTGAGAAACAGCCAGACTAACTTCATATGTAAGTGAACTGGAATTTTTAGGGAACAGTTCCCTCTAGTAAATTTGTCTACACACAGCTTAATCAAGCAAATTTACAGCTGTTAACAGGTTGTGCCGCTGTATTCCTGAACATATAAATAAACTTCTTAATCAGAACAAAAACAGGTTCAGAGTCCAGTTGTTTAAACTGGAACTGGTACAGCCAGTACCTAACTGTAGTTAAAGCAACTGTCAAAAAGAATCATAATCAAAGTAGAAAAAAGTTGTTTTTCTGTTTCCTCAAAGCTACGAAGATGCTGCTCAGTGAACACTTCTGTGATCATCTAAACTCAAAGCTACATGACCTCATTTGAAGTAAGATGCCCAAACTAATGACAAATCAAACAAATGTGTTTTCTAACCAAGGTTCCAAATTAGGAAAAAGCTAATTACTTAAATTTAAATTGGAAGGGAAAAATTTTGGGGAGCCTGTTAATCAGAAGGCTCTTAGAAACTGGAATGGATATGGGAGTGAGGAAATGAACTCATCTGTATAAAAAATGTTTATTCACTTTGACCAGGAATGTAAAAGTAAATAAATTTACGTAAGTAAAAAATAACAAGTAAAGGTTCATATACACCCCTCTTTACAGACTGAGAGTAGATATGAGTTGATTACTGGTAAATAAGGTGTTGCACACACTATGTTGATAGAAATGGGATGCCCTGCAGAACTAATTAAAACAGTCATCAGAAAACCAATCCAATCATTAAAAATTCATACTAAAAATTAACATCCTCTATTTTGGTAAATCCTTGGAAAATTAGAAGTATTATTTCAAAATATCTGATTTTTTTCACTATTTTGTATGACTCACTACCTTTCTTTCATCCAAAAGATTATCCAAACTACAAAGAAACTTATATCCTTTGTACAATACAAATACAAATATAAGTACAGACAAAACAGCTAAACACACAGAAAACCCACAAAATAGCACTTTGGAACCTACATTACTGTATAATTGAAAAAGCCCTATTTATTATAAATTCGCTTAAAAAATGTCATGCCCTATATAAAACCTAAATTTTACAATAGATACCTAAATTCTGTAATATCTACTAAATTCTACCTTTCTCCAAATTATTCCAATATGACTTCAAACTAAGTGTCCATAGTATAAGCTGATCAGAAGAAACAGCTCAGTTGTATACATTTTCAAAGTAATGGAATAAGACCCAATCTCATTAAAAATAATAACATTTTACAAGAATATCTATAAGCATCTGAATTCTTCTGACACAAGAAATATTTTTATATTAACAAAACAGAATCCATTACTCTAAAATCTTATATATTTGTATTAGAAAAACAGGGAGAAATTGGGTCTGAATAAATAAAATGAATAAATGATACAGGACCCCAAACAACTATCAGTTTTTCTAATGAAGCTCTCTCTGATGAGCCAAGGTTTCAATGATCTTTTTATCTGAATTTCTATAAATCTGTGGACTAAATCACGTATAATCAGTTGATTATATATTGACTTGCATTAAAGTTATTTCTTATTTTTCTCTGTACTTTAAAAATCATTTTAATCTCATAGCAAGCTAACTACATCTATAAGCAATTTTTACACCAAGTACTCACCTCCTTACAACTCTCCTTAGTGCTATGGAAAGGTAGGTTCCAATTAGATATAAAGAGATTTGAATATCATTTAATTCAATGGATTATGGGAAGCCATTGAAAAAGAATGAAATGATAATAGCATATTTGAAGAGCAGTAAGCTAGATGTTTTGTGCAGGTTGAGGAACTGGAGGAAAACAAAACAAAATTGAGAAACTACTCAATTGTTCACAAAACAGGTGGCAGTTAACTGAATTAGTGTAGTGAAAAAAGAAGTGGAAATAAGCATAGAAACAAATGAATAGGTTGAAGGAGCCTAGAAATAAACAGTCACAAGCTGGTAATTTATTACATATGAGAATAAGATAGAATAGTCTAAGATAATTAATTTCAGTTAAACAAACATTTATGAAGACCCTAATTTTTGCAAGGCACTCGAAAATATAAAAATAAATTGATGTTACTACTTAGCAGTCAGTAAAGTATTATGAAGAAAAATAAAGCAGGAAAAAATAGAGAAAACTAAAGGGTGCTATTTTATAGAAGAGGTCGTCTAGCAAGTTCTCTCTAGTGAGGTGATGCTTGAGCAGGGAACTAAATAAAGCATGGGGATAAGCTATATGGATATTCATGTTGGAAGAAGTTCCCAGTAGAAGGAACGAATATTAGGAGCTATTATGTAGCAAACCCTACACTAGACACTAAAAATACATGAGTGAACCAAAAAGGTACATGTATTCCAGGATTTTACATTACTGTAAATAAATGAAGAAAAACATAATGTCTTGGAAGTGAAAACTTCCATGAAGAAAAGGCAAAAAGATAAGGAAATAGAAAGTGATGAATGATAGTGCTGTTATTTCTACTTTACAGATAAGGATATTGAGAAGTTAAATACAAACTGATAAATTAGAGAGCAGGTATTTAAACCCACAAAGTCTCACTTCTAAGCTCATTCTTTTATTTACTATGCCATTCTCTCCCTCTGTACTATAAAATCTCCAGTGAAAACCACAAAATGGCAAAAATCACAGTCCATTCTTTGTTACACCCCTAATCAGTATGATAGCATACAGGGGATGCAAAATAAGATTGAATTGACTCTGATTTCCACCGTAGATATAATATTAAAACTCCATTACAATTAAAGAAGCCACAATCCTGAAACTAGGGAGATGGCTCTTCTTATTTAGGGAAATCCCATTCAACAACAACAATAGTTTTTTAAAAATGTATCATTTAAAGGTAAAAGTGATAGGTTTCTAAGGAGATCAGAGTGAAAGAGAACTACTCAAATGGGCCTGCTGCGTATCTCTACGACAGCAAACTATTTACACGGCCTTGGCAAATGGTGGGATGAGAGACTATAATCAATGAGGGAGGAAAAAACAAAGTTATCACTACACAGATGTAAAGTGAACTAGTGACAAGTTAGCAATACGTATCAGGACTCATTGACACTATTTGCCCAAGTATTTTCTTCCTCATAAATCTTCAGGATTTAAAGTATTTCATTTCAACACTGCTTCCTATCACTTAGCAAACTAGTTCACAACTGTCAACACTTTAAACTCATAAACCAAAGGAAGAAAATCCCAGGGCCAATGGGAAAAGGTCTCACTGCACCATAATAATCCATTTAATCTATCTTATTTATAATTATTTTACTTCTTTCCCTAGTTAGAGAGCAATACATATTTAATCTTAAAAATCTGGGAAATTCAGAACTACATAAAGGAGAAAATAAATATCAACCTTAATTACACCGCCCGAAGGTAATCACTGTCAATATGATGGAATGTTTATTTTCACTCTTATTTCTGTGTGTGTGTGGTGGTGGAGGTTTTTGTGTGGGTGAATGTTGCTTTTTATGAATTGTTATCATACATTTTACACAGCTTTGTATCTTACTACTTTTCACTTAACATTAACATTATATGAAGATCAATTTGTCTATATTTTAAAATATAAATTTTAACAATGGTAAAATATTGTACTATATGTAATTAACCATCCTCTTGCTGATTATAAATTTATGCCATTAAAGATGATACTGGCATGAGTATCACTGTATGTAATCTATATGCAAAATAATGATTATTTTCTCAGAAAAAATTCCAAGAAGTAAAACTACTGATTCAAATTATATAGACATATTCTATATAATTTTATAATGTTGCCAAATATCCTCTACAAAGGTAATCAATTTACATTTCCTATGTTACCTGAGAGTTTCACCCCATACTCACCCACAAAAAAAATCATATTTTTAAAAATATAATACGCAAAAAAGTCATCATTCCAATTTGCATTTATTTCAGTAATGTAATTTGCTTTTTCTTTATTTTTTTACTATTAGCTACTTGTTTTTCTTCCCTGTGAATTCCTTTTTGTATTATTTGGCCATTTTTCTATTTGGAAGTTAGCATTTTTACTCTCATTAACATAAAGGAACACTTCATATGGAGATATTTGCCCTTTATCAACACACATAATATAAGTATCTCTATAAAGAACTCTTACAACTCAACAATAAAAAGACAAATTACCCAATTAAACAAGAGGCAAAGGCTCTGAAAAGACAGTTTGCCAAAGAAGAGATGTAAATATCCAATCAGCACATGAAAATCTGCTCAACATCATTAGACATTAGGAAAATGAAAATCAAAACCATGATATACCACTTCATACTCGTTAGAATAGCAGGTATAATTTTTTTTTTAATTTGTAAGGAAAATAAAAAGCGTTGATAAAAGTGTGAAGAAATTGGAACCTCACACAGTGCTAATGGTGCAGCTACTGAGAAAAACAGTTCGGCAGTTCCTCAAATAGTTAAACATAGGATTACTATAGAACCCAGCAATTCTACTCCCAGATATAGAGTCAAGAGAATTAAAAGCACATGTCCAAACAAAACGTAGATACAAGTATTCATAGCAGCACTATTGATAATAGACAAAAAGTAAAACTGAGTCAAATAACCATCAAATAAAATGTGGTATATCCATACACTGAAATATTATT
Source organism: Homo sapiens (assembly GCF_000001405.40). Classification (NCBI taxonomy): domain Eukaryota; kingdom Metazoa; phylum Chordata; class Mammalia; order Primates; family Hominidae; genus Homo; species Homo sapiens. The sequence continues at coordinate 68,007,227 of NC_000014.9, read as the reverse complement.
TGACCATACATAAAAGAAAATAAGCATAAATACATGTTGTAATATAGATGAGCCTTGAAAACATTATACTAAGTAAAAGAAACCAAGCACAAAAGATCACATTTGTATAGCTATATTTATATGAAAGGTCCAGAATAGACGAATACACAGTGACAGAAAACTAATAGATTAGAGGGTGCCAGGAGCTGGGGGAAAGCAGGAATCTGGAGTGACTACTAAGGGTTTTTTCTGGGATGATGAAAATGTTCTGGAGTTATATACTGGTAGTGATCGCACAACTCCATGAATAAAGTAAAAACCACTGAACTGTACACTTTAAAATGGTGAATTTTATTGCATGTCATTTATATCTCAATTTCTAAAAGACTTAAAACATTAAAAATGGAACATAAACATAAAAGTTAATACTCTATCATCAGCCCAGGAGTTTATAAGACCAGAAATTCCACTTTATGTATTTATCCTAATTTCAGCTTTGCTTGGTACAGCAAAAGACTAGCAGTAATTCAAATTCCTATCAATAAAAAATTGGGTAAATATATTATCACATAATATTATTAAATACTATGAAAGTATTTTTTAAATGATGCACTCCTTATATAATGAAATGCAAGGATTTCCAAGAAATATTAAGTGAAGAAAATAAGGTACAAAACAGTATGTAAAGTATGCTACCAGTTATATTAAAAATACACACACATCCTCATATATACTTGTATATGCAATATTTAAAGCGATAGCAACTAATAATTTTCTAGAATAATTGAAAGGATACCAAAAATAGATTAAACAACTTTTTATCAGTAGGTTTAAAAATTAAGATAAATCAACAACTTTCTGGAAAAATGTTATTAAAAAGATCTCAAAAGGAAATAGAAAGTTTGGATAACTATTTAAAAACTGAGTAACTAATAAAAATATACCCATAGAGAAGCTAGTTGTAGTACATAAAATCAACAAAGAATTGGTATTTATAATATATAAAGAACTTCTGCATGTCATTAAGAAAAAGGCAGACAACTCAAATGGACAAAAACTTGAGTAGGCACTTGGTATGGTTTGGATCTGTGTCCCACCCAAATCTTACGTTCAAGTATAATCCCCAATGTTGGAGGTGGGGCCTGGTGGAAGGTGTTTGAATCATGGAGGTGGATCCTTCATAAATGGTTTAGCACCATCACTTTGGTGCTGTTCTCCTCATAGAGTTCTCACGACACCTGGTTGTTTAAAAGTGTTATCACCTCCTTCCTCTCTCTCTTCCTCCTGCTAAAAGTGTAGAGCACATCCCTCCTCTCTCTCTTCCACCTGCCATGTAAGATGCACCTGCTTCCCCTTTGTCTTTTGCCATGATTCAAAGTTTCTTGAGGCCTCCCCAGAAGCCGTTATGCTTCCTGTACAGCCTATGGAACCATAAGCCAGTTAAACTTCTTTTCTTTATAAATTACCCAGTATTAGGTATTTCTTTATAGCATGTCGAGAAGCAATACATCACTTCACCAAAATTATACAAATAACCAATAAGTATATGAAAAAAGTGTTTAATGTGCTTAATCATCAAAGAAAGGCAAGTTAACAGCATACTACATGTTATTCAATATACCCACTAGAGTAGCTAAAATATAGTAGTTAAATACGAAGCCCAACAAGAATGTGCAGCAACCAGTACTCCAACACTGCTGGTAAGAATATAAATTAGTTCAACAACTTAACTGTTTGGCAACATCACTAAGCTAAATACATGCATAACTGATGACCCAATAATTCAACTCCTAGGTTGAAAGAAATGTGCAAATAAGTCCACCAAAATGTCCATAGCAGCCCTATTTACACTAGGCTAAAACTAGAAGGCATGCAAAACTCCATTATCAGTAGAATGGGCCAGGCATGGTGGCTCACGCCTGTAATCCCAGCACTTTGGGAGGTCGAGGCAGGCAGATCATGAAGTCAGGAGTTCGAGATCAGCCTGACTAACATGGTGAAACCCCACCTCAATTAAAAATACAAAAATTAGCTGGGCGTGGTGGCATGCACCTGTAATCCCAGCTGCCCAGGAGCCTGAGGCAGGAGAATTGTTTGAACGTGGGATGCGGAGGTTGCAGTGAGCTGAGATCTGCCATTGCACTCCAGCCTGGGCAACAGAGAGAGACACTGTCTCAAAAAAAAAAAAAAAAAAAAAAAAAAACACACACACACACAGTAGAATGGTAGAATGGATACATAAATATGTAATATGTTCTATTGTATGAATAATCACAAAATAGTATACTGCACAGCAAACAGAATGAACCACAACTACACAATACAACATGATGAATCTCACAAATACACTACAGAGTGAAAAAGGCCATATACCAAAAAAAAAGCATTCTGTATAATTTCATCTGTATACAGTTCAAAAACGAACCAAACCCCCCTAAAATACACAGTTTAGAAACTGGAGTAGGTGGTCACCCTCAGAAAAGGCAGTGGCTGAAAGGGCACACAGTGGGGGCTTCTGGGACATTGGTAATTTTTTGTTTCTTCATCTGGATTCTGGTTACATGAGATTGTTCAGTTTGTGAAAATTCATTGAGCTACAGCTACATTTATCATTTGTGCAATTTTCCCATAAATACATTATATTTCAATTTATAAATTATTTTTAAAAGCCCTCCTACTTAGAAACTCCATCAAGTATGGAGGATGTGGAAATAAGTTTTACCATATCTTCATGATGAGAAAATCCTATGTTATAAAAATTTTTCCAGAGAATAGAAAATGAAGAAAGCTGCTGAGCTTCTTCTATAATCTAGAAAGAAAAATCGGTACTACAAACAAAAACTACAAGGAATTCTTAAACAAAATAGTAACAAAAAAATCCACCAATATATTCTTTTTTTTTTTTTTTTTTTTTTTGAGACGGAGTCTTGCTGTGTTGCCCAGGCTGGAGTGCAGTGGCGCGATCTCAGCTCACTGCAACCTCCACCTCCCGGGTTCACGCCGTTCTCCTGCCTCAGCGTCCCGAGTAGCTGGGACTACAGGCACCCGCCACCACACCTGGCTAATTTCTTTTTGTATTTTTAGTAGAGACAGGGTTTCACCGTGTCAGCCAGGATGGTCTTGATCTCCAGACCTTGTGATCCGCCCACCTCGGCCTCCCAAAGTGCTGGGATTACAGCAATATATTCTTTTTAAATAACTAAGTATAGTTTATTTGGCAATGCAAGGATGATTTAACACTACAAAAGCCATTAACATAATCTACCACATTAATGGGATAAAAAAGCCATATGATTTATCTTAGTAGATATTAAAAATTACAAAATTTTACTGGCAAACTCAATCCAGCAGCACATCAAAAAGTTTATCCACCACAATCAAGTAGGCTTCATCCGTGGGATGCAAAGTTGGTTCAACATATGCAAATCAATAAATGTAATTCATCACATAAATAGAACTAGAAAAAAACCACGATTATCTCAACAGATGCAGAAAAGGCCTTCAATAAAATTCAACATCCTTTCATGTTTAAACTCTCAATAAACTAGGTATTGAAGAAACATACCTCAAAATAATAAAAGCCATGTATGACAAACCCACAGCCAATATCATACTGAATGGGCAAAAGCTGGAAGCATTCCCCTTGAAAACTGCCACAAGACAAGGATGCCCTCTCTCACCTTTCCTATTCAATGTAGTACTGGAAGTTCTGGCCAGGGAAACAGGCAAGAGAAAGAAATAAAGGATATTCGAATAGGAAGAGAGGAAGTCAAACTATCTTTGTTTGCAAATGGCATGATCCTATACCTAGAAAACACCATCCTCTCAACCCAAAAGCTTCTTACGCTGATAAGCAACTTCAGCAAAGTCTCAGGATATAAAAATCAATGTGCAAAAATTGCTAGTATTCCTATACACAAACAGGCAATCCAAGAGCCAAATCATGAATGAACTCCCATTCACAATTGCTACAAAGAAAATAAAATACCCAGGCTAACAAGGGAAGTGAAGGACCTCTTCAAGGAGAACTATAAAGCACTGCTCAAAGAAATCACAGATGACACAAACAAATGGAAACATATCCCATGCTCATGGATAGGAAGAATCAATATCATGTAAATGACCATACTGTCCAAAGCAATTTACAGATTCAATGCTGTTCCCGTTAAACTACCATTGACATCCTTCACAGAATTAGAAAACACTATTTAAAAATTCATATGGAACCAAAAAAGAGCCTGAATACCCAAGACAATCCTAAGCAAAAAGAACAAAGCTAGAGACATCACACTACCTGACTTCAAACTATATTATAAGGCAACAGTAACTAAAACAGCATGGTACTGGTACAAGAACAGACATATAGACCAATGGAACAGAATAGAGAACCCAGGAATAAGACCACACACCTATAACCATCTGATCTTCAAGAAATCTGACAAAAACAAGCAATGGGAAAAGGAGTCCCTATTTAATAGGTGGTGCTGGGAGAACTGGCTAGCCACATGCAGAAAATTGAAACTGGACTCCTTCCTTACACCATATACAAAAATCAACTCGAGATTAATTAAAGACTTAAATGTAAAACCCTGACTATAAAAACCCAAGAAGAAAATCTTGGCAATACCATTCAGCAGATAGGCACAGGCAAAGATTTCATGATGAAGATGCCAAAAGCAATTGCAACAAAAGCAAAACTTGACAAATGAGATCTAATTGAAGAGCTTCTGCACAGCAAAAGAAACTATCATCAAGCTGATTATAGTTTCTAACAGAATGGCAGAAAATTTTTGCAATATATCTGTCTGACAAAGGTCTAACATCCAGCATCTACAAGGAACTTAAACAAATTTACAAGGAAAAAAAAACATTAAAAAGTAGGCAAAGGACATGAACAGACACTTCTCAAAAGAAGATATACATGCAGCTAACAAATATATAACAAAAAGCTCCACATCATTGATCATTGGAGAAATGCAAATCAAAACCACAATGGCTCACATCAGTCAGAATGACTATTATTAAAAAGTCAAAAAACAACAGATGCTGGCAAGGTTGCAGAGAAAAAGGAACACTTTTACACTGTTGGTGGGAGTGTAAATTAGTTCAGCCATTGTAGAACACAGTATGGCGATTCCTCAAAGACCTAGAGGCAGAAATACCATTTGACCCAGCAATCCCATTACTGCTTATATACCCAAAGGAATATAAATCATTCTGTTATAAAGATACATACATACATATGATCACTGCACCACTATACACAATAGCAAAGACATGGAATCAACCTAAATGTCCATCAGTGATAGACTGGATTAAGAAAATGTGGTACGTATACACCATGGAATACTATGCAGCCATAAAAAAATTGAGACCATGTCCTTTGCAGGGACACGGATGGAACTGGAGGCCATTATCCTCGGCAAACTAATGTAGGAACAGAAAACCAAACGCCACATGTTCTCGCTTGTAAGTAGGAGCTGGATGATGAGAACACAGGGACACATGGAGGGGAACAATACATAGTGGGGCCTTGGATGGTGGGGGATGGGAAGAGGGAGAGCATCAGGAAGAATAGCTAACAGATGCTGGGCTTAATACCTAGGTAATGAGATGATCTATGCAGCAAACCACCATGGCATACATTTGCCTATGCAACAAACCTGCACATCCTGCACATGCACCCCTGAGCTTAAAAGTTGAAAATCAAATAAATAAATAAATAAATAAACTCCATTACCTTTTTGAGTCTCTACTGCCTTGTCCATTAAAAGAGGACCCTAATAAACTAGAAATTTCCAAAATAAAAAAGTATAAAATTTTACATTGATTCATCACTTAAGAAAAAAGCTTCCACCAATATAGCAAGAAAAATAAACTTTCTAAAATGAAAAATGATATATTGGAGTCTCCGGAAATCAGGAATAAGAAAAAATCCCACTATGACACTTCTATTCAAGAATAAAGAAGTATGAGGTTTGGAATAGAAGAAAAACTGCTACTGCATATATGATTCCATAGAAAATATACGATAGTTTGCAAGCCATTTTAATAAGCATGCAAAGCAGTTTTGCTGGACTTTAAATATAAAAATCAATTTTCTGATCCAAGAACTGATTGGATTACATAATAAAAACAGATCCCATTTTTTAAAAACTATTAAAAACCCATGAATAAATCTAACCAAATTATGATTTGTAAGATCTTTGAGGACAAAAGTCTATAATATTATAGAATACCTAAATAGAGAAATAAACCATTTTCATAAATGAAAAGATTCAATATTATAAATACATAAATTCTCCCCAATTTATGAATTCGATGTAATTCTAATAAAAACACAAGAGGATCTTTGGTGAGAACTTATCACAGAGAGGCAGAGAAACAGACTTCCAAATAATGGTTCTCAGAGACAGAGGATAAAGACTTTTTAAAAACTGAAATCCACATGGTCAAGGGTGATATCTGATTTTTGCTTTTCTCATTTCCGGTCTCATCATTTTCAGGGATAATAGCCCTTCTCCATGAGGCTTATTTTTTCCAAAACATTCCATAGCTTCAGAAAACAAACCAAACAATTACAGACCTAAAGGTCAGATAAAAGTTACCCACTGGAAAAGTGAAGTAAACTCAATCCAAGAAGCCAGCTGATTTTTAACAATGCAAAACACTAATAATTTAAAAGAGAAAAAAAATCTTAACAGGACATATTTTAACCTCAATGAAATAAAATACTTAAGTTTAGAATTCCCTAGTAAAAGATATGTAGAAAGTATATTAGTTATACACTTTATAAAACCCTTGACAGTATTTGTACTAAATGCGAACATACCAGAGTCTAAGAAAAGTCTTTATAGTACTGTCACATTATCAATCACTTGGAAAACCTAGGAAATCAATTTTTACAGGGCAAGAAAGAAAAATATGGAAGTTACCCAAAGAAGCAGATAACAGAGAAAAGCAATTCAGCAAATTCTTGGAAACTCGGGAATGAGCTCTGGAGTTTAATATTAATGAAATGATCGGCTTAGACTATCAACGTAAAGCAGTCTTGAATAGTGGTTAAGAAAAGATCAGCCCACAGGAATTTTCCACAGGCATTCCCAAATTTATTAGTCATGGCAATAAATAGGAATGGCCTAAGGAAGTATACTTTTACTATGGGGTTAGACTTTCTGTTTGTTCTTTTTTTCTTCATTTTTACATTCCTACTACTAGTTTTTTGTTGTCTTTTTGTTTGTTTGTTTGTTTTTAAGACCTAAATTGCTTTTCCTAAGGTTCTGGACTATGCTGACATTCATAAGTGTATTTACAGCCTTCCCCACGTTTTACACCTTTGAGCCCTTGCTCATTTAGTTCCTTAAAAGTAGAATGTCCTTGGAACCCATCTAACACATATCAAAACCCTACTCCACCTTCAAGGCACAATTTAAATATCATTTCCTCCCTGAAGATTTCTATAGTAATAATAAAAATTAACTGCTCCTCTATCCTATGTGTATTCTAACGGGAAATAAACCTAATACTTAATGAACCTCTATGATATGCCAAGTCAAGTGCTTTATAAAAGAATTTTAATTTAACCTTCTCAGAAGTCCTATAACGTACTATTATCTCCATTCTGCAGTTGGAAAACTAAAGATGTGAGAGGTTGCATAATACAATAGTAAGTCATGGAGTTGGGATTTAACCAAAGCCTATCTGATTTCAAAGTCTATGGCCTTTATATAATTTCATGCTGCCTTTATCACAAACTGACTTGGAATGTGTTGTTTATATACCAGTCCACTCTTGTAGGTCATGAGATCTTTGAAGACAAAGGCACTATCCCATTTGGGTTTTAATCCTCCTATGCTAGCACAGTGCCTAATATGTATCATATAGCACTCTAGTGCTGCCTGAAATCATGTGAAGAAATTAGTACAGCATTTATTTTCCTCATATAATGAGCTTCTATGTAGCCTCATGACCATAAAAAATAAGTACCTGGACTTCCAGCTATAACAGAATAACTAGTACCAGATCTGTCCTACTGTAAACACTGAAAAAACTGGAAAAATATACAAAAAAGTTACTGTCACACCTCAGACAAAAGTTAGTGTTAAGACTGTGATCCCTGAGAAAAGGAAAATGAACAAGGTCGCCCTGATGTCTGTCTGGAAGCACTTTCTGGAATGCACCACAAGGAATGATAACCCCAAGCAGAGTACAGAGGTCTTACTAAGTTAGGGTGACAGAGTTCAGAGTTTAAAGAGGAGGAAAGAGATGGACTCTTCAGGGCAGAGTGCTAAAGAGGAAGAGCTATGCAGAGAAGAGCTCAGGAAATCTACACAGGGTTCCCCTTGAGACTATGACTGAAAATTAAGCTGCACATACATAGAGTAAATTCCATAAGAACAAACAAAGTACCATGAATGTTAATCTAAATAATTCCCAGTACTCATATAAGACTGTGAGACATTTTGACAAGGTAAAGGAGAGAGACCTCATTGAATATCTAGAGCACTGCACAGAGACTCCAGAAGGGTTACATCCTAGTAGTAAGGCTGAACTAGCTCCAGAGTAGTGGTTCTTGATCCTTTTCCCATCTGCCCAGAGAATACTCACCAGTGGCACTTGCGGCTGCAGCGTTTACCCTGAGATAACTTTGCCATGTAATATCTCATTTTAATTATTACTTTCACATTGCTCTAGTATATCAACTTTGGAAACAAAATACATCATTCTATTTGTACCATTCTGTTTTTGGTAGTGATATATCCATTTACAAAATGTAGTAATTCTCAATCACCAAAAATGTCAAATCCTAGAAAACATAGCATTCCTACACATGATGTTAACACAGTTCTCAAACAGTTATTGGCTGAATCTAATTTTTCCGAAATAGACGATTCTGATGATTCAGGTGATTCTGATGTTAGTTCAGTTTAAAAATAACTCTAAGAACAGTTTTTATATTTTATTTCCACATTGAAAATCAGTCAGATTTGCTTCAGCCTCAAAGACCCATGTTTATGTAACGTTAAAAAAGCACTGGCAGTAAGCTGCACTTATATTTTCTAAAGGGGTAAAAGGTTAAAAGTTAAGAGTACATCACAATAACTTAGAGATGTATTAAAACACAGATTGCTAAGCATCACTCCAAGGTGACATTGATACTGTTGGTCCAGGTACCACACTTTGAGAGCCACTGCCCTAGAGTAAAAACAACTCTGGACAAACTCTAACAAGTGTCAAAAGGGTTGTACTGATCCACAATTCACTCAAACTACTTCCTAGAAGAAAGCTCAACATTCTTTACAGAAAGACAATAGAGTTCTGCATTCATCAGCATCACATTCACAATTTCCATATTACTATTAATAATGGGATTAATAGCAGATTTGGCACGAGAAAGATAATGAACTTGAAGCACACAATAATATCCACACTGAGGCACAGAAAGAAAAAAGACAAATAAAATTAGCAAAGATTCGCTGATCTGTGGAACAGTATTAACTGGTTGAACTTACATGTAAATACAGTACCATGGGTAGGCTGAGAGGGCAGGACAGTACGTGAAAAATTAATGGCCAAAAATTTACCATATTTGACAAAATATCAAAAAACAGGTAAAAGCATCTCAACAAATGACAAACAGCATAAATAGAAAGAAAACCATCTGTGTTCATTTTAAAGAACATTTTGATCACAGACAATAGGAAAAAGATGAGGTATAGAGAAGGGGTTGGAGGCAGCTAGAGGCCGAAAGACCAAAGTAAACTGTCATAATTTAGGACGTGACTGTGACTAAGACCTAAACTAAGGCAATAATGCATCACTCTCTCCTCCTTGATACTCTTCATTCACTTGGCTTCCAGAATACTATACTCTTGATTTCATCCCTTATCTCATTGGTTGCTTCTTCTCAGTCTCCTTTGTTGGTTCCCTCTTTTCCCCTACTTTGCCTGAATCCATATTTCTTAATGTTGAAATGCCCTGGGCTAAGTTCTTGTTCCTTTTCTCTGTCTATTCATTCTCTTGGGGATTGTATCTAGTTTTTTGTTTCAAATACTATGTATTTTCATACAACTCCCAAATTAACTTCCAATGAAATTCTGAACTCATATATCTGACTTCCTACTCAATAACTCCACTTAGATACCTAACATACATCTCAAAGTTAACAAGTCCTGTTCTTCCCCTCTAAACCTGTTCTACCCACAGCCTTCCTTCCCATCTAAGTTGATGTAAAATGCACTTACACAGGAAAAAACAAACAAACAAACGTAGATTTATCTTAACTCTTTCTCTTATATCCTACATCTAATCTATTAGAAACTCATGCTGGCTCTATCTTCCAAATTCTAGAATCCACAGCTCACTGCCTCCACTGTCACTGACCACTCTGTCTAAGCTACCTTCTCTTGATTGAAATATTCCAACAACCTCCTAGCTTGTCTAATTCATCCCTTGCTCATACAACCTAGTATCAACCAGCAGCCAGTGATCTCTTAAAAATATAAATTAGGTGTCTCTTCTCTGCCCAATGCATCCATCCATTCAGTGCCTCACAAAACCCCTACATAAGCAGACCATTGTTACCTCTAAGACCTCATTTCCCATGGCTCTTCCTCCTGCTCTCTCCACTTCAGATCTATTGGCTTCCTTGGAGTTCCTTGAACTCACCAAGCATGCTCTCATCTTGCAGCCTTTGCACTGACTGTTCTCTCTATCTGGCAAGCCTTTTTTCCAAATATTCTCATGGCTTACTTCCTTCAGGTTTTGCTGAGATTTCACCGTTATGGAACATCTTTTATTTATTTATTTATTTATTTATTTATTTATTTATTTATTATTGTTGTTATTTTTTGAGAAAGAATCTCACTCTGTCAACACAGGCTGGAGTGCAGTGTCATGATCTTGGCTCACTGCAGCCTCGACCTCCTGGTCTCAAATAATCTTCCTGCCTCGGGCTCCCACGTAGCTGGGACCAAAGGGGCACACCATTACACCCAGCTAATTTTTTAATTTTGTGTAGAGGCCGGGTCTCACTTTGTTCCCCAGGCTGGACTTGAGCTCCTGGGCTCAAGCGATCCTCCCACCTCGGCCTCCCAAAGTGCTGGGATTACAGGCATGAACCACTGCACCAAGCCTGGACCACCATTACCACCATTTTTAAAATTGCAACTCTCTCCCCACCTCCCACACTCCCAAACTCCCATCCCACCCTACTTTTTCTTTTTTCACAGAACTGACACCATCTGGAATACTATATAATTAAGTACTCCTTGAATGAATAAATTGTACCAGTAATGTAGAGAAGGCAGATTTTTTAAAAATGAAGAATATAGGCCGGGCGCGGTGGCTCATGCCTGTAATCCCAGCACATTGGGAGGCCAAGGCGGGCGGATCACGAGGTCAGGAGATCGAGTCCATCCTGGTTAACACGGTGAAACCTCGTCTCTACTAAAAATACAAAAAATTAGCCAGGCGTGGTGGCGGGCGCCTGTAGTCCCAGCTACTCGGAAGGCTGAGGCAGGAGAATGGCATGAACCCAGGAGGCGGAGCTTGCAGTGAGCTGAGATTGCGCCACTGCACTCCATCCAGCCTGGGTGACAGAGAGAGACTCCGTCTCAAAAGAAAAAAAAAAAAAAAGAATATAAAATCAGCAGGGCTTGGTCTCCAATAGTATTCAGAGGGGGGAAAAAAGCAGTATGGGTTGACATCCATATTTCTAACTTGGGATGGAAGGAGCAAGGATAAATGTGTGAGAAAAAGATCCTAAGTTCCCAGTTTTGGACATGTGGAGTAGATGACTTAGTTATATCCTATTGTGAGTGTGTTCTTTTTGTTGTTGTTGTTGTTGTTGTTGTTGTTGTTTTTGAGATGGAGTCTCGCTCTGTTGCCAGACTGGAGTAGTGGCGTGATCTCGGCTCACTGCAACCTCTGCCTCCCAGGTTCAAGCAATTCTCCTGTCTCAGCCTCCCGAGTAGCTGGGACTACAGGTGCGTGCCAACCACGCCCAGCTAATTTTTATATTTTTAATAGAGATGGGGCTTCACCATGTTGGCCAAGATGGTCTCGATCTCTTGACCTTATGATCTGCCCACCTCAGCCTCCCAAAGTGCTGGGATTACAGGTGTGAGCAACCATGCCCGGCCGAGTGTGTCTTATACTCCAAATCCTGAAGATCCCTTAATCTGCTAAGCAGTCTAGGTACCACATATAAATGGAATCATACATTATTAGTCTTTTTGTGACTGGCTTATTTCACTTAGCATAACATCCTCAAGGTCATCGTGTTGTATATGTGTCAGAATGTTTTTCCTTTTAAAAGCTGAATATTCAATTATATTTATACACCACATTTTGTTTATTCATTCATCTACTGATGACATTTGGGTTGCTTCCACCTTTTGGTTATTGTGTCTAACACTGCTATAAACATGAGTGTAGAAATATCTCTTCTATTTCTCTGCAATCTTGAGATGATTATGGGAAATGCTAGAGAAAATCATCAGTTGCAGATGGGAAGATTGATGAAAAGGAGCTAACATTTTGCCAAAGAATCCTAGAAAACCAGAGAAAGACAAATGGCAGCAGCAACAGTCTTAGACATGGTAAGATTTGAAGATCAATCAGTGGTGACCCCTCCCTGCCTTAAATCCTGCTTGAGCTTAGTCATACAAAGGAGCACTGATTTCTCATTTCATATTTCTAATTGTAAAACTAGATACTTCTAACTCACCCTACCTGGGCTTAAGAATTATTTATAAGGTACTGTTAAAAGGGTACACTCTTAATATGAAACATAGTAACCATCTTATATTAAAATAAGTTAAAGATAAAACTTGACCATGTAACCAGTGAATATGTTCAACTATTCATTTATCCTGCAGGCAATGTCTTTGTTGGCTTAATATTACAAAAGCTTTCTTTTTCAAGATCATTCTTGCCTACCTAGCAATGATGCACATTAAAATTAAAACCAGCTAAAAAATATTTATCTAAGAGAAAAAAATGGCTTTTTTTTCTTGAAAAAAACAGTGGTTAGTGTATATTTTTGGGCCCCTTAACAATATCTTATTTCTCCTTTCAAAAAGCAATATGGAAATTAACAACAGTCCAAAAAAGGAAAAGGAAGAAAATATAGAAAACTCTTAACAGTAAACAGAAACCTGAAAAAACAAATTCTACCTCAGCATTCAGTTTCAAAGCAATATTAATATTAAAGTACATAAAGGCATGATATTTTTATGGATACCTAATAGTTATAATACAGCTGTTATTATATATACTAACAGTTATATATTAAGTTATTAACATATAGTTGTTAGAATAGCTAGCATACAGCGTTAAAAATCAGTATTTTCCAGTGTTTCTTTTATACTTGTCTTTAGAGGTTACATCACAAAAAACAAAGTAATAATTGTTTACTAGAGAACCCTCATACACTGTTGACAGAATGTAAATTATTACCACCACTATGGAGAACAGTTTGGAGGGTCCTAAAACCACTAAAAATAGAGTTACAATATGATCTGGCAATCCCACTGCTAGGTATACATCCACAAAAAGGACATCAGTAAATCAAAGAGATATCTGCACTCCCATATTTATTGGAGACCTAGTCACAACAGCCGAGATTTGGAAGCACCCTAAGTGTCCATCAACACATGAATGGACAAAGAAAATGTGGTATATACACAAAACGGAGTAATATTCAGCCATAAAAAAGAATGAGATCCTGTCATTTGTGACAACATAAATGGAACTGGTGGTCATTATGTTAAGTGAAGTAAGCCAGACGCAGAAATACAAACTTCGCATGTTATCAGTTGTTTGTGGGAGCTAAAAATTAAAATAATTGAACTCATGGAAATAGAGAGTAGAATGATGGTGACCAGAGGCTGGGGAGTGTAGCGGGATGGAGGGAGGGTGGGATAGTTAGTGGCTACAAAAATATAATTAGATAGAATTAATAAAATATAGGGCTAAATAGCACAACAGGGTGAGTATAGTTTACAATAATTTTTTGTACATTTTAAAATAACTAAAAGATGGGGTATCCATACCCTCAAGCATGATTACCCTGATGTGATTATTACACATTGTGTATCTGTATCAAAATATCTCATGTACTCTATAAATATACAGAACTACTATGTACCAACAAAAATTAAAAATTAAAAAAATGTTTCTTGGATGATTAGAAGAAATGGAGCCTATTAACAGATTTTTAGGTAAATGGTCAGAGAAACTATAGTATATATCAACTTCCTAGTACCTAGCAGAGCGACCAGCACTTACCAGGTATCCGAAAAAATATTTATAAATTAATGAATGAGTAAAAAACAAATGAGTGAACAAACCAATGAACCTGGTTACTCTGATGTATCTGCACATATTCATTTCATAGCACTATCTTCTTATAGCTGCAGTGTGATCACCTTGTTTTTGACACTAATAAAAAAGTGCCAAATATAAATAATGCTTCCTAGAAAAAAAAAACATTTTTCCTTCTAAATACTTATGTTAAGTCCTTTTAACTTCATAAAGATATTTTAGGAGTAGATAAGAATAAAGCTTCTTGGAAAAGTAACAGGCATGTTTTGATAATAACATATACAGATGAATCCTGTTTATCAATTTATGGTCAAAGACATTCTCTGCCTCTTAGCCAAACGACAGAGAGTAAATTGGTATAAACAAGTAGGAAACACACCACCAAAAAGAGTAGACTGAATCTAAACATCAACTAGTTTTACCCCCTTTCTGATGAATAAATTTCTTCTATTACCACATACCCTTAAGGTAGTTTGGCAACACCCTGGAAAATTCACTACTTAACTCCCAGCACAGTCTATTTCATTTTTTAGACAGCTTTAAGGACCAGACAAATATTCTTTATATGGAGTCAAAATCCATCTTCATGTAACAATTGGTTGTCACTTTACCTTCTGGAGCTTCACAGTCTCATTCTAACCTTCCTTCCAAAGGGTTGCCCATCAAATATCAGGAGACAGCTATTATGACTCCTTATAGGCTTCTTTTTGTAGCTTTGTTATGTGAAAAACTTTAGCCATTTTCTTCTGGATGTGCTTGAAGCTTATCACTCTCAGACTGCGATAATCAGAACAAAATAGTCCGATGCATAGAATAAAGCGGGACTACTACTAATCTTATTCTAGACATTCTATTAATGTTCTAGACATTCCTAAGATCACAATGCATTTTTTTGAAAGAAACATGACAAAGTTGCCCATATTAAGTTTTCTGTTAACTTAGGAACGTTAAGCCTTTTTTCCTACCCCTACATCTAAGCCATTTCTCCTCTATTCTGTAATACATAGCATTATATATTATATTATAAACTTGTTCTCAGTAAATTTTATCTTGCTGGTTAAGCCTATCATCCTGATATTTTTAGAGCTTTTTTGACTCCTGTCTATATCAAAGAGATATCTGCACTCCTATGTTTATTGAGACTGTCTATATCACCCAATAATTTTGACTCCTGTCTATATCACCCAATAATTTAAGCCATCCTTCCTCAACTGTATATTATCTACAAATTTAATTAGTAGGCCAGCTATATTTCTTTTAACTCTTTGTTGATATATATAATGAAGGTGAAGACAGATTCCTATGGTATCCCAGAGTTCTCCTTCCAGGTTAACACAGACCATTAAATATCACTCTTTCAGATGGCTGTTCAGCCAGCTGCATAACAACATAACCGTATTTTTATATCATATCCCTCTCATCCATTCTGCCCACAGTGATATCATGATGGACCATGTCAAAAAACTTCATGAAATTCAGACCCCTGTCTGCTGTGATCAACAGTCTAATAGCCTTCCTAAGAAGAAGGAAATTAGGTTAATCTCCACAAAGTTTTTTTAATAAAATCAGGCTAATTCTTAGAGATCATCATTTTTCCTTAACTAGCATCTACTAAATCACCTAATATGAAACTTTACTAAGGATTCAATTCAGATTCACCAGCTGTAGGGAACAAGAAAGAGAGAGAACCTACAGATGTTTAGGGTCTGTGATCTGCTTTCTCTCCTCCATCTTCCTGCCTGAAGGCTGTGTCTCTAGGGATCCTGCCCAGGCTACTGCAGCAGTGGGAAAAAAAGACCAAAAATGAGTTTCCCAGATTTAAGTGCCTGGGTCCTATTCCCAACTGCTCTTCCCCATGTTTTTTTAAAGCAATAAAGAGCAATCATTATCTAATGTTTTAACTTATCTGTATTACTCTTCTTCTCCATTAGTATATAGTCTGGAGTTAACTACTCTGAAATGGTTTCGAGTAAGGCTTCACCCTTCTACCCTCTCTAAAAAGAAACAAATGCTATAATAAAATC
Source organism: Homo sapiens (assembly GCF_000001405.40). Lineage (NCBI taxonomy): Eukaryota > Metazoa > Chordata > Mammalia > Primates > Hominidae > Homo > Homo sapiens. The sequence goes on along the minus strand of NC_000014.9, from coordinate 67,990,896 downwards.
TTAACACAGCAATAGTCTTTGAGAAAAAAAGGGTAGCTTGATATGTAGCTGTAGGATCATAGCTTTCCAGTTTTGCTTTTCACGCTGTCACCTACTTACCACAAACTATACATATTTGTATATTTTTAGTTAAAAAAAATCCCAAAGTACTTACAGATAAAACATACTATGCCTCTTTAGTAAACAAACTCAAATCAAAGCCCCACTGTTTAGTTCTTAGGCAATAAATAGTCATAACCAATAATTGTATTTGTATATTTTTAGTTCAAAAGAAATCCCAAAGTACTTACAGATAAAACATACTCTGCCTCTCGAGTAAACAAACTCAAATCAAAGCACCACTGTTTAGTTCTTAGGTGATAAATAGTCATAACCAATAATTGTGTGAGGCAGATCTTTTTTTTACAATAAAAGTCCTCCCTACAAAGTAAGGAACGGGTTGTATGGCAAAAAGAAACAAAGTTCAGGATAAAAACACATGAAATATTATGCTTCCTAATGATAATGTATAATTAGCCACTTTTCTTACAGAATTTTGTTGGTTTGTTTTTGCCTGACTATCCCATTAGGGACATTGACAAAATTGATTAAATGATGTTAATGGCCAGGCGTGGTGGCTTACGCCTGTAATCCCAGCACTTTCAGAGGTGAGGCGGGAGGATTATGAGGTCAAGAGATCAAGACCATCCTGGCCAACATGGTGAAACCCCATCTCTACTAAAAATACCACAATTAGCTGGTCATGGTGGCGTGCACCTGTAGTCCCAGCTACTTGGGAGGCTGAGGCAGGAGAATAGCTTGAACACAGGAGGTAGAGGTTGCAGTGAGCCGAGATTGCGCCACTGCACTCCAGCCTGGTGACAGAACGAGACTCTGCCTCAAAAAAAAAAAAAAAAAAAAAAGATGTTAAAAGTAAAATCACTGTATATGGCTACCATTTGAAAAGAAAGAATAATTTGTAATTTCCCCTAGAGAATTAGGATCAGGTTCAAACTCTTAAGGACTCTCATTGCTGGGGAATAAAACTGCCTAAATTGGGAAAAATCCAGGGTTGAGCATGTAAATGCAAGCAAAGCAGACAATTTCAAAGAAAGACTCACACCCTCAAGGCTAAGGTACTGGCATAATAAAGGAAATTCCGAATGAAAGTTCTCTCTACAGTTGTGGCCTGTGGGGGGTTGCCCCCCAACCCACTGTCCCATAAGTGCATTTTTAAAGTTTTTCTTTTTTCTTTCTTTCTTTTTTTTTTTTTTTTTTTTTTGAGACAGAGTTTCGCTCTTGTTGCCCAGCCTGGAGTGCAATGGCATGATCTTGGGTCACCACAACCACCTCCCAGGTTCAAGTGATTCTCCTGCCTCAGCCTCCTGAGTAGCTGGGATTACTGGCATGTGCCACCACGCCCAGCTAATTTTTTTGTATTTTTAGTAGAGATGGGGTTTCTCCATGTTGGTCAGCTGGTCTTGAACTCCCGACCTCAGGTGATCCACCTGCCTTGGCCTCCCAAAGTGCTGGGATTACAGGCATGAGCCACTGCGCCCGGCCTCATTTTCATATTTAAATGCAAGGTCAAAACCCATTAATTCACACAATATTTTAAAAATATCTTTCTTTTAGAAAATGTGTCAGTAATTTCTATGGAATTCTATATTATGTCCATCAAAGACGTCACAGAATAATAGATTCAAAGAATTTCAGAATTAAAATCTTGAATATCATGTAGTCTAAGGCTTTCATTTTTCAAAGGCTCAGAGAACTAAGTGATTTACCTGTAGTAAAGCAGCCAGTAGTGGATAGATCAGGAAACCACCACATAGAATTCTATTACCTCTATTAAAATAAGGCACTGAGTCCCACAGGGTACAGTCCTAATACTTATTGTATAGGAATCATACTTTGCCTGACTACTAAATATTTACCTTTTAAATGTCTGTTAATTCAGAAGTCTAATAGTTTTCTCTTAAACAAAACTAAAACATGACTCTGTAAATTCATATCTACAGAAAAATCGGTGTTGAAGTTATTATACATTACAAACTATATTTTACAAACCACATTATAATAGTCTAAGTGTATAGTAATCAAATGTCATCACATATAATTAAAGATAAATTCAATGTGTCAAAACAGAAGATCAAAGCACTTTTAATACTGCAGGGCCATCATTTTCAATGGCCTGTTCCTTGATCATGCCTTTAATTCACACAATTCAGTGAATCACAGTGCCTCTTCCTGCTGCAGTGGAAATAAGCTCCCAAACAATCCTATTTTTAAAAAATTAACAAGCATATAAAATAGAAAATATTCTCAAGCCATGTCTGTGAAAAACTTAGTGCATCACCAGTTTCCTATTACACCTGATCCTGGAAAAAATAGACAAGATGTTGTTTTTCATTTCTTTTTTATTATTATTTATTTATTTCTTTATTTCTTTATTTTTTGAGATGGAGTGTTGTTCTGTTGCCTAGGCTGCAGTGCAGTGGTGCAATCTTGGCTCATTGCAACTTCCGCTTACCATGTTCAAGCAATTCTCCTGCCTCAGCCTCCCAAGTAGCTGGGATGACAGGCGCCTGCCACCACACCCGGCTAATTTTTGTATTTTTAGTAGAGACAGGCTTTCACTATGTTGGCCAGGCTGGTCTCGAACTCCTGACCTCATGATCCGCTCGCCTTGACCTCCGAAAGTGCTGGGATTACAGGCGTGAACGACCGCACCTAGCCTTGTTTTTCATTTCTAACTCAGATTCTGACCTAAGCATACATTTATTTTGGAGTTACAGGAAGAGTTCTTGGGTTCATACTATGGCACATAACTAGATAATCTGAATTACCTGGTATTTCCTGTTTGTTGGTTGTTATTGGGTTTTTACTGTTTGTTTGTTTGCTTGGTTTGGTTTTAATACCTACCACGGCAAACACTACCTGAGCAATTCAAAAAGAAAGAACCAAGAATAAAATCACTCGGCATTACAGAAAAACCTCCCACTTCAGTTACTTTATTCCTCTAAACTTTGGCTGAACCACACTGGCTGTTATTTCGCTGAGGAAGCGATTGCCAAGTTATCCACAGGAACATACACACAGACAAACCACAATATGGTGAATGTCAGCCGTTACTCCTAAGAATCTCTTCACTAAAATATGTGCTGAGTAATGAGGAGTTATTCAGTTAAGTTCAGATAAATGTAGAGTTAAAATAGGCCTTCAGAGATAATCAACTGAGATAGTAATTGCCCCAGAAAATACTTATGAAAGTCAATACTAAGAAAACCTGTATATTAAATGTTCTTCATTAAAATAGGAAAAAAAAAGATCTTCTAAGAGTTCTTGAAGCTACCAATTTAAAATTCCAAATAGTAAGTTCAATCTTACTATGGACCTTTACAAATAAGTAACAGGCTTCAAGGAAATCAGAGCCTCTAAAGGCTACAATGTATCTTTTCAGATGCTGACTTTAAAATGAAAAACTTCTTACTTGTACTAACCATTAAAATCAAAACAATTGAACTCATGGACATAGAGAGTAGAATGGTGGTTACCAGAGGCTGGGAAGGGTAGTGGGGACTTAGCGGGAGGTGGAAATGGTTAATGGGTACAAAAATAATAATAATTAGAAATGAATAAGACCTACTACTTGATAGCAAAATAGGGTAACGATACTCAATAATAACTTAATTGTACATTTCAAAATAACTAAGATTGTAATTGTATTGTTTGTAATACAAAGGATAAATGCTTGAGGGGATAGATACCCCATTCTCCATGACGTGATTATTACACACTGTATGCCTGTATCAAAACATACCATGTACCCCATAAATATATACACTGACTATGTACCCACAAAAATAAAAAATAGACTGAAGGGGGCCAGGCGTGGTGGCTCACACCTGTAAACCCAGCACACTGGGAGGCCAAGGTGGGTGGATCACCCGAGGTCAGGAGTTTGAGACCAGCCTGGCCAACATGGTAAAATCCCATCTCTACTAAAAATACAAAAATTAGCTGGGCATGGTGGTGTGTGCCTGTAGTCACAGCTACTCAGGAGGCCGAGTCATGAGAATCACTTGAACCTGGGAAGCAGAGGTTGTAGTGAGTCGAGATCACGCCACTGAACTCCAGCCTGAGCAACAGAGCGAAACTCCATCTCACAAAAAAACCATAGATAGAAGCAGCCACAACAAATCTTTGGATGAGTCACTGTCTTACAACTATGCTTATTTGATAATAAAAGGATAATAAGAGATCTTTTACTGACAACTGAAGATATTCCCAATCTTGAGAAACATATTTTTAAAAGACAAAGATCTTTCGTGCTAACTACCCATTAAAATACACATGTCAGATGAAAATACTATTTTGGGACTCTGTATATGGAAAAAAGGTCAAACGTTATTGCAAAGGGTTTCCACAGAGAAATGATGAAAAGAAATTACACATGTCAACTAGTACAGTATTCACAGTGCATGTTCCATATTATATTATACTTTGGAGTATCCAATTTCCTTCAAGATTCAATAAAATAAAACATAATGCTTCTATTGTTACCATGGTATTCTCTGGCATCCTTAATCACTGAGAGTTAATTAATCTGATATGTTCTTCCCTGTATGTTTTAAATCATCTCCTTAACCCATGGGATATGTAAGAACTTTTGACTTATGAATATTTTTAATTTGAATCATAGGCTAAGTATCATACGTGCATAGAAGTGTGGGGAATAAAAATTACCAAGATAAATCATCTCTGTCTATAAGGAATTTACAATCTATTTTGGAAAAGAGGACTCAACTTGCGCACACAGCACCATAGCACGTACGTGCACATTGTGTGCACCCAAATGCACATACACACACAGAATTAAACTACACACACACACACACACACAAATCAAGGTACAGTGGAAACACTTATGCAAACCCAAATGAGCCATTATACAAAATTAAGGGCCTTTACTTTTCTTTATTTCTTTCTTATTATTTATTTATTTAAGACAAGTTCTGGCTCTACTGCCCAGGCTGGAGTGCAGTGGCACGACCTCAGCTCACCACAACCTCCGCCTCCTGAGCTCCAGCCATCCTGCCGCCTCAGCCTCCCAAGTAGCTGGGACTACAGGGACGCACCACCACACCAAGCTAATTTTTGAATTTTTTTTTTTTTTGTAGAGATGTGGTTTCATCATGTTGCACAGGCTGGTCTGGAACGCAAGCGATCTACCCCGCCTTGGTTTCCCAAAGTGCTAGGACTACAAGCATGAGCCACTGTTTCTGGTTGGGCCTTTACTTTTCAAAGCTGTCCGTGTCACAAAAGTCAAGGAAAAGCTAAAAAGCTGCTGTATTAAAGGAAACTAAATAGACATGGCAAGAAAATTCCTATTCCCTCAATCCTTAGATTAGTGAAAAAACTGCTATAAAGGTCATAAAGGGACAATAGGCAAAATTTGAATGTGGACTCTATGTTAGATTATGGTATATTGAACTTGATCAATTACTGTTATTCTCTTCCTACATGTTACATATGCCTCTTTTGTGCTGAGTCTCTTACATAACATCTTATAATGGAATGTCTTTGTTCTTAAGGGACACATACTAAACTACATAGCTTAAAGGGTTGCAACCTCTGCAATTTACTAGCAAATGGTCCAGAACAAAAGTATAGTAATATGTATATATATGTATTAGAAGACAAGGAGGAGATATGGCAAAATGTTAACAGTGGATAAAACCACATGAATGGCTTATGGGAGCTGACTGTACTACACTGGCAACTCTTCTGTATACTTAAAGATTTCAAAATAATTTTTTTAACTCCATGAACATTTAAGCTTAAAAAAGACCTTGGAAATTATCTAGTCCAATCCTTGACCTAACTTTACAAATGCGGAAACAGACCTGACAATTAGATCGGTGGTTTCTTAACTTTTTGTTCTATACCCCATCAGTAAAACATTTTGGGCATGCACTCCCTCAACATATGTATTTTAATTATTTTACACTTTCTATTTGGGTACCAATTTATTGCTTACATTATAAGACATAAATAAAAAGTAAAATGTATATAGGATGAGATAAAATATTTGTAAATTTATCATTTTTCCTCGTCCATCAGAGTGGAGTACCACGGAGCATCCTTTGCTCCTGTCCTTACCTTGGTGACCACTGACAGCTCGGCACAAAAGAGGCATTTACAACATGTATGAATAGAATGTCATGGAAGGTTTTATGCTGATGTGGTTTATGTGGTACCTGAAGCATTCTAGGGCTTAGAAGAGTAGGTAGAGATGAGAGAAAGGCAGAGAGTCCAGACTGAACAAAGATTGACAAAAGGCAAAGAAACAGAAAAATCATAGAAACTTTAGCAATTCATACTGAAAAGCAGTGACACAGAGGATTAAAGGACAGCTCAGTGATCAACTGTGAAAGGTCTTGAATATAAAAAACAAGAAGGAATGACTTAAACCATAAGTAATGAGGAATCTTTGAAAGGTTAGGAGGGTTAAAATAAGAAAGTGTCTTGAAACCAACAATGTTTACAACAATCAGTATGTGGCAGTGTTTTGCAGAATTAATTCAGAAAGACAGATTAAGTTATTACTAGATTACTCATCAGAAATTGACATAACTTCTAAGAACGAAACTAAATCTTTAATAAAAACCCAGCCCTGGCCAGGCATGGTGGCTCACACCTGTAATCCCAGCACTTTGGGAGGCAGAGGCAGGCAGATCACGAGGTCAAGAGATCGAGACCAGCCTGGCCAAGATGGTGAAACCCTGTCTCTACTAACAATACAAATATTAGCTGGGTGTGGTGGCACGCCCCTGTTGTCCCAGCTACTCGGGAGGCTGAGGCAGGAGAATCACTTGAACCTGGGAGGCAGAGGTTGCAGTGAGCCAAGATCGCGCCACTGCAATCCAGCCTGGCAACAGAGGGAGACACTGTCAAGAAAAAAAAGAAAGAAAGAAAAAAAAAAAACCAGCCCTGTCTGATTTTTCTGCTTGCCTAAATTATATAACTATAGACCTCGGTGGTTTTATATCACCAAAGTAGTTTTCCATAAAGAGATATGCCTAACAATTTTCAGCACAGGCCACTTATTTGCCATTATTATTTCAAATCCAAACTGCCACATGGTCACAACTTTCTCCCAAAATATAAAAAAAATCAAATGGTTAATGTGCTTGTTGCTACAAATAAAAATTAAAAAACAAAAACTAGACTATTAGCTCTTCAGGCTCATCTTAGGTAAATCACTGCAGAGCTTTTAAATCAAGTTTAAGTACCTCTTAAACATCATTATATATAGTAAAAACCATCCCTAGTGTCTGCTATTTCCTAATTTGATAATATTTTGCAGTGAGAAAATGCTAACAAATTTGTATAACTTTTGTACATTGTCAGATGTTAATATAAAACTGTCCAAATGGTATATTTGTACCTCAGCATAAATTCATTATTTGCTTTTACTCAGACTGATATTGACATAAAAAGGCCTACATAGGACTACATAGGCCTTCTTATGTCAATAGCAGCAAAACAGAAGCAGCAAAATATGGGGCTTTATCTTTTCTGCTCTTTTTCCTTTTTTTCCTTTTTATATAAAGAGACCAATGAGATTTGAGCTTACTTACATAATGATAAATTAAGCACAATACATTAAATACCAAGAAAATTCTAACCCTCTAGTTGGCTGAGACTCTTATTTTAACCACTATATCACTTGGTTCTAAGTCCTCACTTGGGATAAAATCCAAGAATTTCCTTTCCCAAATTATGCTGTAAATGAGTCATTTAACTAATACAGTAGTAATAGTATTAGACAGTTTCTACAGATTAAGAGACAGGGTCTTTCTCCCTCCGTCACCCAGGCTAGAGTGCAATGATGTGGTAATAGCTCACTGCAGCCTCAAACTCCTGGGCTCAAGCAATTCTCACCTGTGCCTCCAAAGTGCTGAGACTACAGGCTCGTGCCACCATGCCTGGCTAATTTTTTAAATTTTTGTAGATATTCGTGTCTCACTATGTTGCCTGGGCTGGTCTCAAATTCCTGGGCTCAAGTGATCTTCCTGCCTCAGCCTCCCAAAGATTAATCCTGGGATTAAAGGCATAAGCCACCACACCTGGACCTTCACTCCCTGTTTAGTAATCATTTGGTTTTAAAAAAAAACATAGAAGCAGAAGCAAAATATGGGGCTTTATCAAGAAAGTGAAAGAAGGAAAATATTGATAGATAAAGATTGAGATGGCCTATGATAGTTTTTCAAAAAACGAAGATTGCTGTTATTTTTAAAAAATGACTATGGTAGCTGATACAGAACTTCCACGCAAAATGAAAGACTGAAGTATTGGATGGTCAAGGTGTAATAATTTCCTTTATGAAATGGTCTTCTCCTTTGATAACATTTTAGTAACTATAAAACCCAAGATGGAAGGTGACATATGGGACTCTTCAATAATGTATATGTTCATTGTTATATTTATGTTTATAAATACATAAATTATATTTACATTTATTATACTTATAATATGCTAGTGCATATGTTAAATAATATTGCTTTCAATGGTGAACTGCATGTTTAACACCTCTTTACAATTTTTTCTTTTTTTAAATTGAAGTATAATTTTGCTAAGCTATAAAAAGCTGCACATATTTAAAGTGTACAATTGGGGCCAGACATGGTGGCTTATGCCTGTAATCGCAGCACTTTGGGAGGCCAAGGCAGGTGAATCACCTGAGGTCAGGAGTTCAAGACCAGTCTGGCCAACATGGTGAAACCCCGTCTCTACTAAAAATACAAAACAGCCAGGCATGGTGGTGTGTGCCTGTAATCCCAGCTACTTGGGAGGCTGAGGCAGGAGAATTGCTTGAACCTGGGAGGCAGAGGCTGCAGTGAGCCTAGACTGCGCCACTGCATTATAGCCTGAGTGACAATGCGAGACTCTGTCTCAAAAATAAATAAATAAATAAAGTGTACAATTGGATAACCTTTGAATTATGTATATACCTGCAAAACTATCATCACAGTTAAGATAGTTAAAACTTCTTTAACCTCCTGAAGTTTCCTTGTGCCTCTTTGTAATTCCTTTCTCCTCCTCTATTCCCCATCTCTAGGTAACCACCCATCTGCTATCAGTATGAATTATTTTTCATTTTTTAGAATATTATACAAGTGAAATCAAACAGCACGCAGTCTTTTTTGACTGACTTATTTCTCTCAGCATGATTATTTTAAGTGCCATCCATGTTGTTACATGTACCAATAATTAATTCATTTTTATTGTAAATAGTATTCCATTATATGGATATACTATAGTTTGTTTATCCATTCACTTGTTGATGGACATGCGGGTGACTTCATTTTTGGCTATTATAAATAAGGCTGCTATGACATTTATGTACAAGCCCTTGCATGGACATATGCTTTCAATTATTTTGGGTAAAAAGCTAACTGACATGGCTGAAGAGTACGGTGGGTATATGGTTAACATTTTAAGAAACTGCCAAACTATTTTTTAAAGTGGTTATACCATTTTACATTCCCACCCGCAGGGTATAAGACTTAGCTCCTCCACATATTCACCAACATTTCATATGGTTAGTCTTCTTAATTTTATTTTTTTCTTTTATTTTTAGTTGACACATAATAATTGTACATATTTATAGAAAAGGAAGTAATATTTGATGTGGTATTGCAGTACACTTTTCATTTCCCTAACAATTAATGACATTGGGCTTTTCATGTGCTTATGGTCTCGAACTTCTGGGCTCAGGCAATCCTCTCACCTCGGCTTCCCAAAGTGCTGGGATTACAGATGTAATCCACCATACTCTATCCGATGTCTACCTTTTGTTGTTGTTGGGTTGTTTGATTTTTTATTGAATTTTGAGAGTTCCTTATATATTTTGAATATAAGTCCTTTATCATAATATGTTTTGCAAATATCATCTCCACAAATCTGTGGCTTGCCTTCTCATTCTCTTTTCAAGAGCAGAAATTTTAAATTTTGATGATGTTCAACTTATCAATTTGTTCTTTTATGGGTTGTGCTTTCGGAGGCATATAGAAGAAATCTTTTCCTATCTCAAGATAACAAAGACTTTCTCCCTATGTATTCTTTAAGGAGTTTTATAGTTTTAGTTTTTACATTTTAGTCTATGATCTGTTTTGAGTTAGTTTTTATATGGTATGTGATATAAATAATTTTTTCACATGAATATCCAATTGTTTTAGCACCATCTGTTAAAAAGTTTGGCCCTTCACCCGTGAATTGCCTTTATACCTTTGTGAAAACTTAGTTGCCCATGTACATAAGAATCTGTTTCTGGACTCTCCATTCTTTCCCACTGATCTGTTTCTCTATCTTTATGCCAATACCCTGCCTTGATTGCTCTAGCTTTATAAGTCTTAAAATCAGGTAATGTTAGTCCTCTAATTTTTTCCACTTTTTTTTGTTTTTTAAGACGGAGTTTCGTTCTTGTTGCCCAGCTGGAGGGCAATGGCGCGATCTTGGCTCACTGCAACTTCTGCCTCCTGGGTCCAAGAGATTCTCCTGCCTCAGCCTTCCCATAACTGGGATTACAGGCGCCCGCCAGCACGCCCAGCTAATTTTTGTACTTTTAGTAGAGACAGGGATTTGCCATGTGGGTAAGGCTGATCTCAAACTTCTGATCTCAGGTGATCCACCTGCCTCGGCCTCCCAAAGTGCTGTTATCACAGGCATGAGCCACCATGCCTGGCCACTTCTTCCTCTTTACGATATTTTTTTTTTGGCATAAGATGCTACAGTAATAGAAATAAAATTAAGGAATTTTTATTTATAACTGCATGAACCCTAGACCTGTTTCTCTATTTCAAAGATAAAACCATTAATTCTAAAAGCTAAGCAATAAACCTTTTAAAAAGATGAAGTACAGACTTCAGTAGAATTTATTTTATCATCTCTACTATATATTAAGCATTGTGCAGGTACCATCACTCAGCTCTTTTGTTTGATAATTTATGTGACTTAAACAAACAGCCACCATTTTAAACTTGCTAATATGTATTAACAGAGTATATATTTAACATCTATCATGTACTCAGAAGTATAAAAGACTCCAGTCAAAAGATATAGAAGATAGTGTTTCCATCACACTGATATCTACTTGGGAAAAAAAGAACAGACATAATACAATTTTTTAAAAAACTTTAATAAATCAACATGAAAATAATAATAGTAGAAGCTTGGTTCAAAAGTACTGTTGAAAAATGGGGCCAGATGGGATTACTACGAAGACTCCTTAAAGAAAATTATAAATCAGATTTGGGAGAAATATTGGTGAGATTAGGGTAAATGAGATCAGTCAACAGGAAAAGGCATAATGTTATTTATGAAAGATTATCCTAGTAGCACCAAGTAGCGCAGTGTTAAAAGGGAGAATGACTAATATTAGGAAAATCAGGGAGAAAACTATTGCTATAAGCCACGCATTAGGGGTTGGGGGCCCACCACCCAGAGTGAAGACTCAGTTTAAATGTCTTGAAAACTATTAAAATGTCTTGAGATACACAAAGAATCTGAAAGCAAAAGTATTTCTTCACTTAAAATGTTCAAATCTATTAGAAATCAGAGTTTAATACTATATTTTAACTGCATTTAGATATTTTAAAACTATATACACATTACAATTGCATTTTTAAAAATTTACTTTTGTGGGGCAAAAACAACTTTCTACACTCATCTTGAACAGTAGTGAGGCCTGGGGGTTGCAGAGTTGTTTACAGTGAACTCTGAGGGGCTCCCATTGCCAAATCTGCCCACACTGTAGCTTCATGTTTAGAAAATGGCTAGCCATACTTTCTTTTCTTCTCCTTCAGTAAAATTAGTAGACTAGCTTTTAGCATATGGAAGCATTTTCACATTGCAAGTTCTGGTGGTGGGGGGAAGGAACAATTTGCAAATGCCATCAAATGAAATGTGCACTTTCAAATGAGGTTGATTATACAGTTTCATGTGGCAAAAGTTAGTCAATAAGTCTTTTCCTTTTTTCAGAAGGAAATGCTCATCTTTGCATAAAATGCAGCAGAGTGATCAAGGAAGGTGTTTTAAAAACATCATTGTAGATTTTCAGAAAAGCACTTTTATTTGAGTGTTCAAGACTGAAATTCAAATGGATTTCATTTTTATTTTAAACTCCTTTTAGAAATATTAAAGTAGGGGCAACAGGAACAAAGCAGAATAGGGTAGTGGCTAGAGAAAGCAATAGTCTTTTAAGGGCTACACTCAGACTTCTTCCTGACACTTTTTCATGTCTGCCTCTGCACCTCCTTCACACTGTCTCTTCTCCCACTTCTTTACTTCTTTTACCTTTAAACACACCAGGGAAGGGAAGCGGGATATGTATGGGAAGTGTGGGATGAGTAAAGAAGAAAACTAAAAGATGCAACAAAGCTAACATCATCACACTGGCTTTATTGAGCAGGCCCTTACAGGTCACCTAGAGGAAAAAACGCAGAGGCTGGAGGGATTAACTGAGGTGACAGTCAATTGATATTCTTTATTTTCCCAAAGAAATATATTTATAAGTCATTAACTATAAGGATAAAAGGTAAGAATCAAGAACTTTAGCCTTTTTCACTTTCTTAATTTCTCTAATTCAAATATTCCAGTACTAAAGACAGGAATCTTGGCTGAAACCCCTACATGCATAAATAAATAAAAAAAAATCTTTTTTATATAAACACCAGTAGTTTAGCCACAGGAAAGCCAAAAATGTGCAAATAATAGCCCAAATCATAGACTGATATTATAAATCATCCTAAAACACAAACTTAATGAAATCTGAGATCGCTATAAGGAAAAGTCAAATACTCCTCTTATAAAACTCTAAAACCAAACATTCTACCTATGGCTTTAGGGGGAAAATAAGGAAGAGGAACAAAAAGGCACAGAAATAGAAAAAGCCATAAAAGAAGATACAAGGGAATGCTGGTAGAAACTAACAATGTAAATACAATGATATCTTATCAAGATCACAGAACTAAATTTAAAGTGGCCGAAAGAACTGGAGCTTTATTTCCCATGGGCTCTCAGGCTTTGTTCTCCAGGGCTTGTGCAAAGTATGCCAAGAATATTATGGAACACAATTAACCACAATGTTATTTTTAGGCAGTAGGTGTACTTACATTTTGATTGATATCATTACCTGACTTTAACTTTTCTTGGTGAATAACAAGAAGAAGCTAACACAAAATTTCAATTATTGCCCTTTCTTTGTGAATCAAATCCATAAAACTTCCAAGAGGGAGAAGATAAAAGTAAATTCCTTATTCAACTTATCTTTGCCAAAGGGCTTGGCCAGGCCCATAGCTGAAGCAGGCTAGGGATCAGAGACCTTGAATTGCTTGCTACTTAATACCTGTTCTGCTCTAGGCAACACTGAAAGTTTTGCTTTGATAGTTCAAGGCTAAAAGCCAATTCTGATAGTTGGCCGGAGGGAACTTTTTAAAGTTAATCTCTTCATACAGCAATGTTTCTTCAGGAAAATAATAAAATGTAGTTCCAAACTGTCCTGCAGTCCCAGCTCATCCTCATGAATGTCTCTAGCAGTTAAAATTCACTCAAAAAGGATTTTTTACATACAGGTGAATCAACATTTCTAGTTTTTCAATCAACCAGGATACACTCACAGCACACTACAATAAAGATGCGAGAAGTAAAAGGATTTTGCTGTCAGAAAATTGGAATTCTAGTTGGAAAGACATATTCACCCACTTAAACTAATTAAAAATAAAGAAAGGCACTGTTTGGTACTGAGTGTTAATGCAACGAGAATTCAAAGATTAAAAACTAGAGTTGATTCCTGACTTTTTAATGATTGCCATTCTAACTGGTGTGAGATGGTATCTCATTGTGGTTTTGATTTGCATTTCTCTGATGGCCAGTGATGATGAGCATTTTTTCATGTGTTTTTTGGCTCCATAAATGTCTTCTTTTGAGAAGTGTCTGTTCATATCCTTCGCCCACTTGTTGATGAGGTTGTTTGTTTTTTTCTTGTAAATTTGTTTGAGTTCATTGTAGATTCTGGATATTAGCCCTCTGTCAGATGAGTAGGTTGCAAAAATTTTCTCCCATTCTGTACGATGCCTGTTCACTCTGATGGTAGTTTCTTTTGCTGTGCAGAAGCTCTTTAGTTTAATTAGATCCCATTTGTCAATTTTGGCTTTTGTTGCCATTGCTTTTGGTGTTTTAGACATGAAGTCCTTGCCCATGCCTATGTCCTGAATTGTATTGCCTAGGTTTTCTTCTAGGGTTTTTATGGTTTTAGGTCTAATATGTAAGTCTTTAATCCGACGAGTTAATGGGTGCAGCACACCAACATGGCACATGTATACATATGTAACAAACCTGCACGTTGTGCACATGTATCCTAAAACTTAAAGTATAATAATAATAAAAATATATAAAATAAAATTAAAAAACAAAAAACAAAAAACTAGAGTTGAGCCAAGTGGAGTGGCTCACACCTGTAATTCCAGCATGCTGGGAGGCCAACATGAGAGGATCGCTTGAGCCCAGGAGCTCAAGACCAGCCTGGGCAACATAGGGAGACCCCATCACTACGAAAATTTTTAAAAATTATCTTGGCAAGGTAGCATGCATCTGTGGTCCCAGCTACTCAGGAGGCTGAGGCACGAAGATTGCTTGAGCCCAGGAGGTCCAGGCTGCAGTGAGCCATAATCACGCCACTGCACTCCAGCCTGGACAGCAGAGTGAGACCTTGTCTCAAAACACAAACAACAACAACCAAAAAAAAAAAAATCAAGCGAAAACAAAAACAACTGGAGTGGGCCAGAAAAGTCCAAACTGGGTTTATGAAAGAGGTGCAAGAAACATAAAGAATTTGAGTGGAGAACAAGAATCAACAACATTTGAAAAAGCAAGGAATATAAGCATTACAGATGAGGGAATAAAGCATTAATAAAGGTAAGAAAGTAAAACTGAACATGATATTAGGGATGGGGATAAGGTTTGGTCTGTTAAATCAAGTTTACCCTAAAGCTGCCTCCTTACATATTTTAAATTCAGCCTAAAGGTTTCTCTACACAGTGTGAACTATAATCTAAAAGGATGTGTAAACAGACTGTAATCTGCTCTTGTGACAATCACTGAGTTTTGGCCAAAGGGGGCCAACTGTTCAAACTACGTTCAAATAAGGCAAATGCGGAGCTGTAACCAATCCAGCTGTTTCTGTACCTCTATTTTGTTTTCTGTACGTCACTTTCCTTTTTCTGTCCATAAATCTTCCAGCACGTGGCTGCAATGGAGTCTCTCTCAGACTACTCGGGTTCAAGAAGCCGCCAGATTTGCTCAATTAAACTGAGTTATATTTAATTTGGTTAAGGATTGTCTTTTAACAGGTCTAAAGTATAAACAACCAGTTTAAGTAAAATAGGTATATCTGTTAAGGTTTATGGTTGAATAAATATGATAAGGCTGGTTTATGGAAGGCTTTGAATGCCAAGGAGACCAACAGAAATTTGATTAGGCCAATGAGAGTCACAACTGGTTATTAATAAGGGAAGCAGCAGCATAAATTTCTTTTGAAAGGGTGGTTTTACAAACAGCATGGGGGTAAGGATTGGAAGCCAGCAAAGAAGATGGTGGAGCCCATTAGGTGCTAAGTGATAAGAACCTCAACTTGAATAACAGCATTCATTTGTGCACCATTCAATAATATTTATCGGATGTCTGAATGTTCATCATTCACATGTGAATAAGACAGATACGATATTACTAGCCCACAGAAACCATTAGGTAATAAATGTTCATTGTTTAAAGCGGCTAAGTTTTAGGGTAATTTGTTATGGCAATTGATAACTAATACAGATGTGAAGCCAGCAAAGCAGATATCAACTCTCCAAAAGTGGGAGAGAAACCAAAAAAAGCACACTACCACTGAAGACCAAAAATAATTTCAAAAATAAATAGTAGATTAGTAGTCAGTATCACATATAAAAGAGGAATATAGGATGATGAACATCTTTTAAAATGTTATTAAAGTTGATACAGTTCACAACTAATTAAAAATTATAAGAGATATACAAGAAAATACATATCATAATTGATTACCAAATTGTTTTTTCCATAAAAAGAGAATGAGTAGGGAAAAAGTGTACACAACTGATAAACACCTCAAATTTAAACAATTTATATTCCTAAGTCTATGGGTCGACCATTAACTGATTAAATATCTAGTGAAGTATAAGTCTCATGTACTGTAGTAAGTTTAAACAAAAATTTCACTTGTTTTGATCTAATACCCTAACTTTAGGCCTATACCCTCCTTATGACAAAAGAAAAAGCTTTGAATTTATTCAAACCTTTATCATATCACCTACCATATGTTGCTATAAATTATTTACATGTTCCCCATCCTAACTACAGTATAAGTTCCTCCAAAGTAGGAACCTTTAGTTTATTCATCTTTGAAGTCTCAGTACATAGATCAATATCTAGTCCATAAAAGATATTCAGTTGCTAACTGAAAGTTACTGAATTTAGTAGAAAAACAATGGCTTTTAAACATATTCATGTACCATCTATCATTTTTGAAGTAATAGGAGTTTTCTTTCATTACTGTCTCTGCTGGATAGTATCTCTTCATTGTAATTCCCTAAAATTTAGCCTGGTCCCATTTGTCTACCTTAGAACACTAGTCAAGGTCCTTCCACAAGACTTTCATGAGTTTCAAGGTCTTCATTTCTTTTGTATTTAATATTCAATCTTAACTTAGTTCTAACACAAACCTCCGTTTTAATTATATTGAACTGAACAATCCTGAACCCATATTATTTCATGTTTTTCTTCCCAGATCATCTCAAATTTTGACTTGGAATGTCAAAGCATTTATCTGAATCTAAAATTCCATATTCCCTTGTATATGCAAGTTGATAAATGCCTGAATAAAGTAATTAAGTGGCTATGTTTAGAAGAAACATAAGTAGAAACATAAGAAATAAGAAAATGAGGTGAAGTTACAAAAATTAACATTTAAAATAAACATTGGATGCTTGCTTTTTAAATGTCTATTTGTGAAACAACTAAATTTTGAATTTTTAAAATGGTCCTGATACACCAAATTAATCTAAAACTTTGCCACTTAAAATATAAATAGGCTACTACTGATCTTAAAGAGCTGTAATCAGGACAAATTCTTACATTGAAAATGTTTGTGGGCATTTACTCAGAACAGCTGCCACCCAGGATGACTAAAATAACACAAATTAGATGTAATTGAGTTAAGGGACCACACCAGGTTTGTAATTCAATTTGTCCTATGTGGTTTGGATTTGGGTTTTCTTTTTCCCCTCCAGCAAACCACAGTTTGAAAACTTCATCAAATGGGAAGTACAAAGGAATAGGAATATATAATGCAAATGTTTATCATGAACAATTTACATAAAATCCACTTTAACAGTTTAGACATAGTTTTTTGTGTGTGTGTGCTGTCTGATGGCAGCAAACATCACTTCAACATTGTTTAAGTTTCCTTTGAGGGTCCTATTCACTAAAACTTCTTGCTGCCAATTTCTCATTTTATCACAATTTATCCTAGCTGTAAAGTAAATTTTATTTTGTTCTAATTTCCTAACTTTGCACACTATTTACCTACAAGGTCAAAGCAGATTCCAGGTTGAATTCAAGCTCACTTACAGACTTCAGTCCAAAATCCTTAGGGTCAGTAATGAAAGTCAAAGGTAGAGCCAGAATTTTTACCAGGGTGTACCTTTCAGCAGCCTTAGATATGGTTGATTATAAGTTGCTGATAGATATGGCCAATTACATTGTCATCACTGTGTTGATAATTTTGATTTCTATGTGTCTAACCAGCATAGACCTGCCCCTAGACGAATGTTTAGATAAGATGCCCTGAAACTAACCAATCCCTACCCTTGTTGGGATCTACTCATACAAGAGAATGATCACTGAGGGATGTTTAGGAAAAGAGTTCAGCTTAGAAATTTAGTGTTGCCTCTCACCATGCCCTTTCCATTAGATGTCATGGGTTTCAAGCAAAATTTGAGATAAAGAGTTTTCCAAATCAGTATTTTGTTCAAACGGTTCCCAATTCATGACATGATAATAGTTCCACATAAAACCAAAGGATCTGATATAATTAACAGGCTTCATTTCAGAAAATCTTGTTTGACAAGATTTCTCTGATAATTACAGGTTAAGCAGACCACAGCAATAGGACTGTATATCAACTTGATAACCAATCAAAAAACAAACTTACCCTCTTTTGATATTGATTACATAGAAAGTATTTGAATTCTTGCCAGTATTAAATAGTCACTTTTCTCTGTGTAGATAATGTATGAAACTATTGCTGAGACAAACTCTTGCCTCTGCATTTTTTACTTTGGCAGACATAGACATGAAAGGCACCTGGCCCTAATAATTCTTCCTTGTGTAACACTCCAGGACACACCATAAGCCTGTCGCCTCTAAAGTCTAGGCCCTTCCCAGCTTTCCTAAGACTCTAAAACCACACCTAAGAAACTTAAACTTCTTAGGTGTTCAGATAGTAGAGCTGCCAATCATGTCAAATAAACAGGGAAAATGGCTTTTTAGAAATCATATCTTATTTAACAATATTGGTGTCAAGGAGACAGAATTTTTTTCTAAATAAAGAGAACTAGCTACTCATCTGTCTTCTGCCTGCTATCTGACACCACCTGAGGTATACCATAAATCTTCCTAAAAGACAAGACTGAGAAGTACTACTGGTTAATTACAGGGGATCTCATGAATAAACCAGATGCTGAGTACAAGGGTTAGGATTATTGCCAGCTAGAACACGTACAAGGCACTCAAATTATCTTGTATGCCAAATCCTTATTTTTGTGCCCCCACAAAAATGTGGTTAACATATGTGTTAAAGGTAGAAAAATGCACTGTTGTGGTAATGCTATCTTTTATCTTAAATTCATTCACAGTGAAAGCCATCTCTATACTTTAAAGGTTTGCCTCCACTGAACTCAATAAATCTAAAATTATATAGCCATTATCATTTTACAGATGGAGAAATTAAGGCAAAGCAGAGTGATGTGACTCATCCAAGGGCAAATATTAAGATGGTGCTTACATAGTAGTTGGAGAATAAACGTCCAACTATTCCCCCTGAGGGAGGATGACCTAAGTAGTCACATAACACACAACAGTCACAAAGAATAAAAAACGTCTAAGGGGAAGTCTGGAATACATCAAGAACAATGTATTCTTCAAGACTCAGCTCAAATTCTATCTTTTATAGTTCATTCCCATCTTTCCATTTTCCACATTTTCTAAAATACTATTAAACTGTCTTTATTTTAATAGTAATTTACTTCTAAGTACAAAGCTGCAATTCAGTTTACCTTTGCAGAGAAGGAAAGGAAGAACAACAGATACAAAGCAAGTCAATGGTATCCTCTCTAATTTCTCTTCTTGGTTACTTGACTGATTTGAATTATAAAGTTTAAGAGGAATTTTAAAAGTAACCTTTTTTTAATCTGCAAAGCCATATTCCAAGACCAACTCTCAAATCTGCAGATAGAAAGGAAACATTCTACTAGTATAAGAAGTATAACAAATTTAAATTTAGAACTAACCAAACACAAGAAATCTTTTAAAATTCGCATGTAACCGTTGAATAAGGAAAAAAAACCTTTCCTAACAATATCAATTCAAAATGCTTTGCTTCAGCTGAGCCTGGTCTGAAGCACTCCAGAGCAATTTACCTACTGAGTCATAAACATGAACAGTTCATTTCAGTACAGGTTATACTTAGAACGAGTTTCATACGTGTTTATAAATACTTAGTGAAATATATAGTTTAAAAATTATAATCTTTAATAGCTTTTATGTCATAACAGAATAGTCCACAGATGTAGAAAATATACAGCAAACACTGCTGAACTTGAGGCAATCAACTGTTAGTTTTGTTCACCAGTTGGACACTAAGCTTTGAAAGAATTATAACACTTGGGGTGACATCATTTTGAAAAGAAGTACACTGAGAAAACAGTAAATTTCTTTAAACTCTTTTCTCAAGTATCTCCTTTGTCTAAATTATTTTTCCTTTAAAGAGAAAAAATTACTGCTGTTCTGCATCAACAAAAAGAACAACAGTGATTTTTCAAAGAGGGTAAGAATCTGTTACATGTTTTCCTAACAAACAGCAACCAATCACAAGAAGGTGAGAAGTGGAATTTAGAATGAGAATCTAACAGGTTAACATCACAAAAAGTGTTAGAATTCAAGTAAAGTGGCAAATTTTACATATGACTTTCTATTCCAAGGTTTATCAAGATGACAGAACTCATACAGAATATATGAATAAACATAAAAATAAAAATCTACCTTAGGAAAAAAAAAACAACTAAAAGGTAAGACCACTCACTTTTATAAAAGCAGATGACTAAAAACAAGAGTTGGAAAGAACTAGATCCACCAAGGACTGGCTCCTACAACTTACAAAACCTTTGCTTTTATGTAAGTTTTTAGCACTGTTCTACCTAACATAGAACACTTTTGCTGGCCTAAAAGAACAAATAAACAGCAATTCCAAATGACCTATGCTGGGTAGTTCTCTCACTTTGAAGAACTTTCTTAAATAATGAAATAACCACCCTACTGCTACCATTAATTTGTGTAGAATCTTTACTGAGCAGCAAAAAATAACTGGCAGTGGTTATCTTTATTATTTCACAAAACATCCCTGGGTAAGTTAAGGGTCAGAAATAATCTACTACATGCTAAAGATGGGAAAATTTAAGAGCAAAGCATGACCTGCAATCACAAAATGAGACAGTGATGAGCTAGGACTAATTCCCTGATTCCTGACTCCCAACCTTTTGTTCGTGGTATATGATGGTACCTCTTAAATATCTGAACATTCAAAAGCAGACAGTAAGTGCAAACATCTTACCAATATTTTATCCAAAGCTCCCATTCACTTTGATTCAGTCCACGTTTCTTAGTTTTATATAGTAAAAGAAAAAAATTCAAATACTAGTGGTCTAATTGATTAGTCTACAGTTTGGTGGTAATATTTGGCAGTTACCAAGTCCTTTTGGAGGTTTACTTTGAACATTAAATGATCATTATAAATATGCTTCAAGAAAAAGTGACAAATAGCATAAGTTTTATCTATTTAAATATTTAGTTATTTATATTCCTAATTAAGTAAAAGCTAAATCAAGCACAGAAAACTTCTTAGTTTATCAGAATGTATCCTCTGGAAATAAATTATTAATAACCTAATAGAATCCTAGAGCTGTAAAAGCCCTCAGAGATCACCTAATGCCCTCATCTTATATATTTCAAATTTTCTTCTTGAATTAATTTGGAAATTTACATTAAATGCTAAACAGAAGCAATGGAGGGAGGATTTAGGCATACGGAACAGGGAAAACCAGATGTATATATAAACAAAGAGTCCTGGTTACATTTAACTCCCATCAATGTCAGTAATTGGGTAGAAGTGGGTTAAGGAGAAAGAAAGGAGAGAGAGTGTTAATGCTAGTGAAGTCCTTTGAACTGGGTCCAACAAGTGTTTCTAAGACAGTCTAATTTTTAAGGATAACACTCCTCCTGAAACCAACAATTGCAACATTTTTTGCATTTAATCAGAACCAGTACTTGCTTACTGATATGGTTTGGTTCTGTGTCCCCACCCAAATCTCATCTTGAATTGTACTCCCATAATTCCTACACGTTGTGGGAGAGACCCAGTGGGAGATGGTTTGAATCATGGGGGCAGTTTCCCCCATACTGTTCTCGTGATAGTGAATAAGTCTCATGAGATCTGATGGTTTTATCAGGGGCTTCCACTTTTGCATCCTCTCATTTTTTTCTCTTGCCACCACCTTGTAAGAAGTGCCTTTCACCTCCCACCATGATTCTCAGGCCTCCCCAGTCAAGTGGAACTGTAAGTCCAATTAAACCTCTTTTTCTTCCCAGTCTCAGGTATGTCTTTATCAGCTGCATGAAAACAGACTAATACAGTAAATTGGTACCATTGGAGTAGGGCGTTGCTTTAAAGATACCTGAAAATGTGGAAGCAACTTTGGAAGTCAGTATCAGGCAGAGGTTGGAACAGTTTGAAGGGCTCAGAAGAAGAAAAGAAAATGTGGGATGGTTTGGAACCTCCTAGAGACTTGTTGAATGGCTTTGACAAAAATGCTGATAGTGATATGGACAATAAAGTCCAGGCTGAGGTGGTCTCAAATGGAGATGAGGGACCTGTTGGAACTGAAGCAAAGGTAACTCTTGTTATGTTTTAGCAAAGAGAATGGCAGCATTTTGTCCCTGCCCTTGAGATTTGTGGAACTTTGAACTTGAGAGAGATGATTGAGGGTATCTGGTAGAAGAAATTTCTAAGCAGCAAAGCATTCAAAAGGTGACTTGGGTGCTGTTAAAAGCATTCCATTTTTAAAAGGAAACAGAGCATAAAACTTAGAAAACTTGCAGCCTGATGATGCAGTAGAAAAGAAAAACCCATTTTTTGAGGAGAAGTTCAAGCTGGCTGCAGAAATTTGCACAAGAAGGAGCTGAATGCTAATCCCCAAGACAATGGGGAAAATCTCTCCAGAGCATGTCATAGGTCTTCATGGCAGCCCCTCTCATCACAGACCCAGAAGCCTAGGAGGAAAAAATGGTTTCATGGGCTGGGCCCAGGGCCCCATGCTAAGTGCAGCCTAGGGACTTGGTGCCCTGCATCCCAGCCACTCCAGCCATTGCTAAAAGGGGTCAAGGTACAGCTCAGCGCATAGTTTCAGAGAGTACAAGCTCCAAACCTTGGTAGCTTCGATGTGGTGTTGAGCCTGCAGGTGCACAGAAGTCAAGAATTGAGGTTTGGGAACCTCCACCTAGATTTCAGAAGAAGTATGGAAACACCTGGATGCCCAGGCAAAAGTTTGCTGCAGGAGCAGGGCCCTCACGGAGAATCTCTGCTAGGGCAGTGTGGAAGGGAAATATGGGTTTGGAGCCCCCACACAGAGTCCCTTCTGGGACACTGCCTAGTGGAGCTATGAGAAGAGGGCCACCATCCTCCAGACCCTAGAATGGTAGATCCACCGACAGCTTGCACCTTCCACCTTGAAAAGCCACAGACACTCAACACCAGCCTGTGAAAGCAGCCAGGAGGGGAGCTATACCCTGCAAAGCCACAGGTGCAGAGCTGCCCAAGACTGTGGGAACCTACCTCTTACATCAGCATGACTTGGATGTGAGACACTGAGTCAAAGGAGATCTTTTTGGAGCTTTAGAATTTGCCCCACTGGATTTTGTACTTGCATGGGCCCTGTAGCCCCTTTGTTTTAGCCAATTTCTCCCATCTGAAATGGCTGTATTTACCCAATGCCTGTACCCTTATTGTGTCTAGGAAACAACTAGCTTGCTTTTGATTTTGCAGTCTCACAGACGAAAGGGACTTGCCTTGTCTCAGATGACACTTTGGACTGTGGACTTTTGAGTTAATGCTGAAATGAGTTAAGACTTTGTGGGACTATAAGGAAGGCATGATTGGTTTTGAAATGTGAGGACATGAGATTTGAGGGGGCCAGAGGCTGAATGAGGTTTGGCTCTCTGTCCCCACCCAAATCTCATCTTGAACTGTACTCCCATAATTCCCCTGTGTTGTGGGAGGGACCTGGTGGAAGATAGTTTGAATCATGGGGGCAGTATTCCCCACACTGTTTTCGTGGTAGTGAATAAGTCTCACAAGATCTGATGGTTTTATCAGGGGTTTCCACTTTTGCAACCTCCTCATTTTTCCTCTTGCTGGCGCCATGGAAGAAGTGCCTTTCGCCTCCCACCATGATTCTGAGGCCTCCCCAGCCAAGTGGAACTGTAAGTCCAATTAAACCTCTTTTTCTTCCCAGTCTCGGGTATGTCTTTATCAGCTGCATGAAAACAAACTAACACAGTTACTAAAATTTTTTTCTCTTCTAATTGTCCATATCAGATTGCTATGAGAAGAGGAAAGGGTTAAGCTAGACCTAAATATAATACTGTATGTAAGAAGTTGAAAAAACTGTGATAAATTATCTCTACATACTAATAGGAAAGATATCCAAGATCTACGGGCAGAGTCAAAAAAGCAAGTTTGCAAACTGAGAGGCAGAGTAAGTATGATACTGATTCTGTGAGGAAAGCAAGCACACACGTACACATACAAACACACACAGCAATACTATATTTCATAAGCCTATTTGTCTATCCACAACATGTATCTCTAAGTCAATGCATAGAGAAAGGTCTGAAGCAACAGAAAACCAAACTGAAAATAGTTGTCATTTTCTGGCATTGGTGGGTAGGCAGCTGGGATTGGGGATGATGGTGGTGAGAGAATGTCAGAGAAGCCTTTACAAACATTCCACATGTTTTGAAGATACTATGTTAATACAATACTTATATAGTAAGAACTAATTTTTTAAAAGAATCATATGTGGATAAAAAGGACAAAGGTTGAGCAGAAAGATGCAATGGTTAGGGAGAAGCATGACTAGGCAGAGCATGAAAAAGGCCTCTGCTTCCTCAGTAACTTGAGGTAAAGAGCTGCTATTTCCCTCTTTCAATTTACCCCTTAAACCCATCATCTCTGGCTCTATCCTGGTGATTTTTAAAAAGCACCAATGTGAGTGTGAAGGCTCGTGGTCCTGTGAGTTCCTAATCATTCTTTACACCTTTGGAACATGAGATAAGGTAGGAGTAGTAGGTAGATAAGGGTAATGAGTTTTCTTTTAATTCTTGAAATTAACTACTATGCCAGAAACCTACTGTAGCTATTTCCCTCTATCCTTTAGCTATAAAAGTAAATGCTAACTCTTGGCTGTATAAATAGGAAGGAGGCATTCATTTAATACTATTGCAAACCAATTTAATCACTGCTATAATGCCAGTACCTTCTGGGATTGAGTCCTTCTTCCTGGTTTGCCCAAGAGAAACTAGTCGGCAGCCACTAGTCTGAACTCTGCTCTAACGGTGGCCCTACTGCTTGGTCTATGCACGTGGTTTATTTCTTTTGTCAAGAGTACTCTTTGTAAAATCTTGGCTTCCTCAGTTCCTCTATACAAGCAAGAGTTTGTCAGGGAAGAGTGTTCTGTGTATATGGGGCAAGGAAAGGCATGATCAAAAGCACAATTACATAGCAAGCTCAGGGAATTATGAGGAAGCTTGTGGGAATGGAGTAAATGTACATGTGTGTGTGCGTCTGGCAATGGGAAATACGGTAAGGGGGAAATTATGGCAGGTAATGAGATGAGAATAAGTAGATCAGAGCCAGACTCTGAAACCCTGGCATGACAAGCTAAGGAGTTTAGACTTTATCCCTTATGTGTTAATGGGGACCCATCAAAGGTTTTTAAACCAGAGAGTGATATGATTAGAACTGTCTTTAAAGAAAGAGATTTGACAAGAGTATGGAGGATGGATTAGAAAATGGAAAGGTTAAAAGTAGATAAGCAGCTCTCCAAGAACTGAAATGGAAGATGAAAAGGGCCTAAACAGGGCAATGGCTAGGAGAATGGAGGGAAGAGTACAAACAAAGTCAAAAAGCAATTTTAGTGATAGAAGAAACAGGACTTGTTGACAGATTGGTTGTGAAGACCAAGGGAACATAAAGACTCAAGATGAATGTGAGGTTTCCAGCTGAGAGGATGGAGAGGCCACTAATGAAGACAGAGGATATAGGAAGGGAGGGAGGGTGTTTGGAGAGTATCCGGAAAAATTAGTTTGGGATTGGTTGAACTACTTACTAGGATAGCAACCCTTACTGAGCTCCAAAAGGATAAGGATCTTGTTTGCCAATTTTCTCTGTGCTGCACCTGCTGCAATACCATGTGCATTTAATTCAAGTTTGTGAGAATGGTGATAATGCTAACGTGTGCCAGGATAATTGAGACTTGACAATATTTAAGATATCTCTTCAAAGTGCCTGTGTAGAAAGGAAATATGAGACAAGGTGGTTTGTTTTACTTTTCTGTCAAATTTCTTCTTTAGTAGTTTCCAAAATAAATTCCCAATAATAACAGGGCTTTTAACAAGAAGGTCCATTACTAAGAGCAACCTGCGGTAGACCGTCGTATGTCTCACAACTTTACATTCTACACATTCCAATAATCAAGTCACATCAACTCTAATTCTCTTTCTTGTTCAGGAACCTGTACTACCACTTAACATTCTAAAACCTGCCACACCCAATAGTCAAACATAATCAGAGCCATTTTAACAATATGGGGGAAAAAAAAAGAAAAAGAAAAAACCTCACTGCTGTTAAAAAACCTTAGGAGGAGATACAGAAAAAGAAAGCACCATTTGTTCTGGTTAATGTTGTTGTGTAATGTTTTCTGGGGTGTGCCCTGTAGGCATGTTGAAATCATAACTAAATAAATCAGCTCCAGCAACGCAAAGAAACAATATTCCCTTCCCCTTTGGCTGCCTGAAGGAATAATGGCATCTTCTCCATGATGTGCACACACTTTGGAGCTGCTTTGTTTTTAATCTTCTGCCAAGTCAAGTTTTAGTTTTATTTTAATTTTGGTAACCACAGTAAATTCCAAATCTTTGACAAGTAAATGCTTTCTTTCTCGCCAGAATCCCACTCACTTTCCTTTCTAACTCTAGGAGTTCAATAATGGCTGCAGTACTGATCTCTTTTCATGAACAAGAAAATAAATACACTATAAATTAAGCATATTTCCTGACATTTACATGATGGTTTAAATGTGACATGAGTACAATAAAATTGTCATCTTGTTTGCCCATCATTGTATAAATATATATGTATATATATTTATGTGTACTGTAGGGAAAAGAACAGCATAGAAAGTCAGGAGATGTGCACTCAAGTCTCATTCATTTCAGTTGGCTGTATGACGTTAGTTTAAAAACTTAAATTTGGTTTCCCTATGTATAAAAGTTAGGCAAATATACTAGATGGTTTTCAAAGTCCCTTTCACTTTAAAATTCTGATTCATAAGATTATGTCTGTTACCGATTTTTTTTAAACACATGAAAAAGTCACTCAAAAAAATCCTAAAAAAAAGAAAAACCCTAATTTTTGGTGGTAAAATGAAATAAGCCTCAGAAATTATCTAATCTGTACAGCTTTGAAACTACATTCTATGGGAAATGCCTAAGCCAAGAGTTATAAACTGTTTATTTCTTGGAAGGATTTCATAGTTTAAAGAGAAAGATTGCAACCGGCTAATCTAGTTCAGCTCTGTCATTACAGATGAAGAAACTGAGATCAGGAATGAAAGAAGAAATATATTAACACATCCATAAAATACTGTGCAACTATTTAAAATGATGGTAAGAGAAAAGGGGTCAAGATAAGTTAAAAAAGAAATGAGGCTATAAAACTGCGTAAGTATTTATTCATTTTTCAGAGCAATAAATTCATTGTATCACTTTCTTTAAAATATTCTCATTATATAAATTCAAATACTACAAAAAATACACAGAAAAGATGCATTAAATCATCCAAAATCTCACCATTGAGAAATATTAGGTATTAGATTAGCAATTAGTGACATTATTCCAGACAACTGGAATATACACATAGATAATGAATGCACAGAAATAAATGTATTCTTTCTGGGATGAGATTATAGTCACAGTTAAAAATAAAAAATATCAATTCTATACACATGGATACACATATACACATAGATAATGGATGGACAGAAATAAATGTATTCTTTCTGGGATGAGATTATATTCACAGTTAAAAATAAAAAATATCAATTCTAATTTTACCTGCAATTAACAGAAGCCGAAATGAAACTGAAGAAATTTTAAATCTTAGACAAATGTTTCTTCACTCAAGAAACATTAATTGTGAAAAAGTCCCTCTAACTTTAAGAAAAATGATCAAAACCACAAAGAATAGATTAACATTACTTTTAAACTACTTTACATTTGAGACAGTTCTGATTGAATTGTTGCTATGAATAAGATTAATAATCTCTCATTCCCATTTCCCTTCTACCTACCTTCCAATTTTTATTGTATATATTTGTTTTACTTTGCCATGATGTAGAGTGTTTACAGTCTGTTGTACTGCCACACTTTCTACAGTATCTAAATCTTACATATATATATGAAGGTATTTAATATCACAACACTTTTTTGGTTTGATTCCTCTCTTGGTTGGCTAAATTTCAACAATTAGTTCTTTTTCAGAAAGGTCTCACAGATACTATATTCTCTGGGTTCTTTCACATTTGAGAGGATACGCCTGTGGCCTTTATACCTCAACAACAACTTGGCTGGGTACACTGTTCTTGGGCCGTAATTTCTTTTATCAGAACTGTGTTGACATAGCTCCTGTAGTATTGCACATTGTTGTGAAGTCTGAGGCCAGTCTAAACTTCTTCCTTGTAGATAACTTTTGCTTTTCTTCCTTATAGATAACTTTTGCTTTTGCTTACATGACTGAAGAAACCTTTCTCTTGTTTGGCAACAATCAGGATATGACATGATGTTGAACCTTCTCTACCAATTTTCAGGATTCAATGTATCTTTTGATCTGCAGGTTCAGTTCCTCATTTCAGTGAAGTTTTGCTATATCACTTCTCCAAATACTTTTTTAGTTTGATTTGTTGGGTCCACTTCCTCAAAGACACCAGTAATCCTTTCAACTTCATATCAGATCATTGTTAACCAAATTGCTTTCATCTTTGTGTCTTACTCCTGTGTTTACCGTGATTATTCCACGCTTTCACTCCAAACCATTAAATTTTTAGTCACCTCTATTGTATTCCATACTAGTTCTATATCATCTGTTAGTTTTGCAATAGAGGTGTTCTTGTCCTCAGATGTGCTTCCTTAGCTATATAAACTCACTTTTTAACAATATGAACTCATTTTAAGATGTTATTTGTAGGTACATGTATGTGTGTGAGTCTATGTGTATGTGTGCATATACATGTACTATAAAAGCCCAAAAGGCTTTTATCTAACTTTATCAGAATGTTATAGTTTTCTGCTGTAGTCAGCGATCTCTTTTCCTTTTTGCCTATCTGAATTTCCTAAATGTTTTCATAGTGAACATAATATGTTTACACACTGATGTTGACAGACACATGCAAATTTAAATGTTGTATACATATTTCTAGAAAAAGAGTAGATTTCCAGAAAAAAAAATACTGAGAAAAGAAGAGATGAAATGATTTGTCTAAGCAAGGAAACGGTAGGACCGTTTCCTTCAACTATACTATACTGTTTCCAAGATGTTTGCTTCTCACAGGATAGCTACACATTTTCAGAGAACTGAAATATCCAGCCAAGGACTAAACATCTTTATGTCAAAATGTATACAAGAATAATATCCTTCCTCAAGCTATGTGTATGGTGTTCAGTCTTTGAAAAATAGGAAAGTAAGCAATGTCAGCATTCTGATAGCCAGCATATCTTTGTCTGAGACACAGATACACAGTGGATATGAATGAAAACCTCTCCTACTTTCTTAGTGACCAATTTTGTTCTTCTGTTTCAAGCTTTAGCAAGTATAGCCCTCAGAAAATTTCTTCATCAAAACTGTATCGAAAAAAGGAAATTCCAACTGGGCATGGTCGCTTGTGTCTGTAATCCCAACAGTTTGGGAAGCAGAGGTAGGAGAATTGCTTGAGCCCAGAAGTTTGAGACCAGCCTGGGCAACATAGCGAGACTCTGCCTCTATAAAAATAAAAAAATTAGCCAGGTGTGGTGGCGCACACCTGTGGCCCCAGCTACTCGGGAGGTTGAGGTGGGAGAATCACTTGAGCCCAGGAAGTCGAGGCTGCAGTAAGCCATGATCATGCCACTGCACTCAGCCTGAACAACAGAATGAGGCCCTGTCTTGAATAAATGAATGAATGAATGAACAAACGAACAAATAATAACTTAGGAAATTCTGTAGCCAGGCACAGTGGCTCATGCCTGTAATCCCAACATTTTGGGGGAACCAAGAAGGGAGGATTGCTTGAGGCCAAGAGTTCCAGACCAGCCTGGGCCACAAAGTCAGACCCTGTCTCTACAAAAAATTAAAAAATTAGCCAGGCATAAAGGCAGGTGCCTGTTGTTCCAGCTACTTGGGAGGCAGAGGTTGGAGGATTGCTTGAGCCCAGTAATTTGAGGCTGCAGTGAGCTATGACTGCAAGACTGCACACTAGCCTGAGCAAGAGAGCTAGACCCTGTCTCTAAAAAAAGAAAAAGAAAGAAAAAAGGCAGTTCCTCTGAGTGTGGCAAATTGTTAATTAATATATCTAAGTTCTATCCAGTGTTCTTGCAAATATATTTATCTTAAATTTATTTTATCCTAGATACACTGTGGGTAAACTGCTATATCTAAACTCATGTTGATGCTATCAAATTCCTAAAATCTTGGGACAGGGTCCTAGAACAAAAATCTATTTTTCTAAAGTGAAAGATAAAAACTATAGGCTCTCCTGAAGTGCTGAGCTGAAAACAACAAGAGTCTTCTTGATGACTAAGAAAATAAAGGTGACAAAGGAAACAATCATAACGATTCTGAATTTTTAAAGGAAGAGATGAAATGATGTTATAGAAAGATCAAGTAAAGTAGTGTCAAACCATTTATAAAGTTGAGGCTCAGCTCCTACTATTACATGACTTTGAACAAGCAATTCAACTTCTCTGAACTTGATTCTGCATCTGCTCAACAGAAACAGTATTATTTCTGTCAAGTAGTATATTTATACACTTAACATAGAACGTTATGTTTGCATATTTCTATTATACACACACACACAAACATACACACACACTTCTTTTTTTTTTTTGAGATGGAGTCTTGCTCTGTTGCCCAGGCTGTAGCGCAGTGGCGCGATCTCAGCTCATTGCAACCTCCGCCTCCCAGGTTCAAGCAATTCTCCTGCCTCAGCCTCCCAAGCAGCTGAGATTACAGGCACCCACCACCACCATGGCCAGCTAATTTTTTTGTATTTTTAGTAGAGACAGGGTTTCACCATGTTGGCCAGGCTAGTTTCAAACTCCTGACCGCAAGTGATCCACCTGTCTTGGCCTCCCAAAGTGCTAGGGTTACAGGGATGAGCCACTGCACCCGGTCATATTTCTATGAAGTTTTAAAGTGCTTTTACAAAGAATGTCTTATTATTGGCAGGAATAAGCAAATATATAATTAGTAAAGAACCATTTTCATTGTCAAAATATAGATATGCTAGAAAGAAGACAGCATGGTAAATTTTGACTGTTTTATCAACTTTAACTATGTCAACTAATAACACTTTTAGATCAGCATATTTATACCCGGCTTACCATTATTTTTCAAGGCTAACATAAATTTCAAAAGAAAGTATTGGCCGGGTGCGGTGGCTCATGCCTGTAATCCCAGCACTTTGGGAGGCTGAGGCAGGAGGATCACAAGGTCAGGAGATCGAGACCATCCTGGCTAACACGGTAAAACCCCATCTCTACTAAAAATACAAAAACATTAGCCAGGCGTGGTGGCGGGCGCCTGTAGTCCCAGCTACTCAGGAGGCTGAGGCAGGAGAATGGTGTGAACCCAGGAGGCGGAGCTTGCAGTGAGCCAAGATCGCACCACTGCACTCCAGCCTGGGCAACAGAGCAAGACTCTGTCTCAAAAAAAAAAAAATATTGACCAAAGGAAATCAGGAGAATCAAACACAAACATTCTAAAAATTCAAAAATCATAATCAGCATTGGTAACACTAGCAGGTGATTATTATTTTATATGTATAAACCTCAATAGGTTATAGAATAAAACATAAAAATGAACATAGAAATCAAATAATACAAGAAGTAGTATCATTTATAATGGGTTAATACAAAAAAATGTGATGTGAAAAATGGACTCCAATAGAAGATGTGGCAAGTAAACCCTAAAGATTCTTTGAAATATAATAGAAAAATTCATGATCGATCTAGAGAAAGGGCAGTAGAGGCAAGGTGAAAGAGGAAAGAAAGGTTTTCAAGGAAATATTTAAAAGCTTCCTTATCAGTAGTATCTTGAACATTCTAACAAATAAAACTAAACTTAATAGTTGTGTCCATATGAATGACTTTGGATGCCCAGTTTTATAATTTAGAGTGATGCAAGTTTACAAAGACAAATATTTTACAGGTAGGATACAATAGTAAAATTTGTTTAGAGCTAGGGCATCCTTAAAAAGCACTGAGACCTTATTCACTTGGCTACAGTTTCACCTCATCAACTTTACATTCAATCATCCCACACTATTCAAAAGGTTGTCCCAAATAAGAAAAGGAATGAAAATAAAGAGAAATATTGTTTTTTACTATAGCTTTTATCTGAGTTTTTTGTTTACTGTATTCAGTCTTGACTTCAAACCAAGTTTATTTGACAAGCACTTGGTGGTAAGACTAGACACCAAACTTTTCCTTGATGAAAACCAATGTGGGTGGCTTCTCTGTATTTTTCATCTTTTTTCAAGAGAGTGCCTCTTTGTGGTGGCATAAGATCTCATATAGCCGTGTTTGCAAAAGCCTGCTGCCTAGCCAGGCTAAGCACTCAAAAGTAAACTCCACTTCTGAGTTCCACTGGATTAATAGTGATCAGAAGATTCAATCAATCTGAAGCCAGGAAAGAAATTCATACAGAAAATCATCACCATCATCATCATCAAATAAAAATAAAGCTTCATATATAGAGCTCCATGTTACTATCACACAAAATAAACAGACATGGTTCCTGTCTTCCATGAAGCCTCCATGCTAGAGCAGATGATGTGACACAGACATATAAACAGACATTCCCAACACAGACCAGAGACGTGACGGCTGCCATTAGCCCAGAAATAAATCAACAACAGCTAAATATTTACAAAATGTGAGAGATTTATTATGTGCAATGTATTTTGTATAATACATATAATATTCTCTGTAATTGGTGAGGACTGAATGAACGTACAATTCTTTTGTTTCCTGATCCTACTCTCTCTCTGACTTCTCATGTAAGTTTTAACCTGACTGTGACTATTTTGTATTCTATAAAAACAAAATAATAGAATGTAAATTTCTTCCATATTGCATACACTACAAAGGTATACATTTACGAAAATTACAGTAAAGCAAATTCTACTATGATTTCTGCTGAAATGAACCAGGGCAGAAATTCAATTTTTAAATCCCATATCAAAAAATATTCTCACATATTATATTTCACATACCAAGTAAACTATTTGGGGGCACTAGCTTTTGGAATGGTTGGTGTTCACTTCTGACTGGAGACAGCGATCCGAGTGTTATAAATGGTACTATCATTCTCCATCAAATGTTACCTGTTTTATTTCTCTAAAACTTCCTCTGGCCATCTTCATTTCTTTGGTCCTTCTTTTTCAAATTTATTTTCTTTTCACTTTCTCTTGCCTTCCTTTGACTGTAGGATCCACAGATATAAAAATAAGAAGCTCCCCAAATAGATGGAAGGTGCATGGGGATCTTTGTCCCTTTGGTTTTGAAAAAGGAAGGAGTGTTTTTTAAATAGTTTAGATGTATCCTAATAATGACTGTGAATTAAGAGACCTTAGAAATTATCTGGGCTCCAGATACAGTCAACAACTTTCAGTCCCTCAAATGTGCCATGTTCTTTCACATCCAAGCATTTCCTGCAGTTGGATTCTGCTTTATCTCCAACTTAACCATGCCAACACCTACTCACCTTTCTACAAAAGGAAACCTTAAGTGTTGCTTCTGTACTTTTCCTTGTGTATTTTCACATCCTCTTGTATCTCTCCTCTTATAGTGATGCTTATCACATTCTATCTTATTCACCCATTCACTGACTTGATGTCCCACAAGATTGAAAGGTTTGTGTAAGGAGGAACTAGGACTTTATCATCTCACTCTATCACAACACCTGGCATATGGTAGGCATTTAATGAAGGTTTGTTGAAGAGATGAAGGACAAGCCTGTCCAAAACAATTAAAATATGTTCTATAGCTCTAGAGCTGCACTACCCAACAGAAGTTTCTACAATAATGGAAATGCTCACTATCTATGCTGTCCACTACACTAGCCACTAATCACATGTAGCTACTGAATGCTTGAAATGTAACTAGTGAAACTAAATTTTCAATTTTATTTTTCATTCATTTTAATAGCCACATACAGTTAGTGGTTAACATATTGGACAGTGCAACTCTTAGTTACAATAGGAATATAAGATATTATGCATGACTTGGTTTGATTATATTGTTTAATATATTGATTGCCCTTTAAAGTATAGTTTACTGAAATAATTCAAATTTCCTACGTGAAATGTCTCTTAACAGATTACATACTTTTCGAGAAAAGGAATTTTATCTTGCTCATCATCATCTTATAGATAGTAGACACATAACATTTTATTTTATTTTATTTTATTTCATTTCATTTCATTTTAGACGGAGTCGCTCTGTCGCCCAGGCTGGGGTACATTGGCATGATCTGGCTCACTGCAATCTCTACCTCCCAGGTTCAAGCGATTCTCCTGCCTGAGCCACTCAAGAAGCTGGGATTACAGGTGGCCGCCACCATACTTGGCTAATTTTTGTATTTTTAGTAGGGATGTTGGCCAGGCTGGCCTCAAACTCCTGACCTCAAGTGATTCACCCACCTCAGCCTCCCAAACTACTGGGATTACAGGCGTGAGCCACCACACCCGGCCAGATACTTAACATTTTAAAACATTTAACATTCAGTTAAACTGAAAGGGAATACTGACTCTTAAAATTTAAAGAATCTGGTGTCTCTGTTTTTTTAAATTTTCTTCCCAGTTTAAGTATAACAAGTGAAAACTAAAAAACAGACAACCAAGTTAAAGTAAAACAAAAAAAGATGTTACCTGAACTGAGTATCCACCACAGTGTCAAAAAGCTACCTAAAGTCCTTACTTTCAGGAAAGGAACTAGGGAAAGAATGTTCCCAAATATCTCCTACATCTCCACCTCTGTTCCATCTTTGCCCACACTATTTTCATTGCTAAAAGCCAAACTCCTACCCCAATCCCATCTTCATCTGTCCAAATTCTACATGTACTCCAACGTCCAGTTCACATGTTCCTTCTTAATGACACATTCATGTTAACAAAAGGATTGGATCTGTCTTGTCTACACAGTCCTCTAAGCTGGTAAATTCTGCTTTGTTCTATAGTGTTTGTCAAGTTCATTAAATACAATTAATTTTAGCTACATAGAATCTAATATGTTTTATTTTTCTGAACTATCAGCAATTGATATATGTAGTATTTCATTTTTATCATCACCAATTCTGAAAATTAAGGTCTTCTTGAATTAAGTCAAACATCTTTTACACATTAGGCATGTAATTTGGTATACTTCCAAACCTAGAGAAATATCTTTCATATAAACAGAAGAAATCAGAAGCAAGAGTTAGACACTGTGTCATACAAAACCATGCCTTTGATTGACAGAAAAGATATGCTTGACAAAATTCCAAACTACATTCCTACAACTACTCCCTGATGAAACTGTTTCCTTATAACATTTGAAAGTACCTTCAAATCCTAAGTGCATATTGGCTTTTTGTGATCCAGCCCTAAGTAGTAATAGTACTATCATCATTTATATTTCTGGATCTAAGATATGTACATCAGCATGAATTAGCTGACAATAAAATTCTTCATATTTCTGAATGCAGCCTTTCATGGAACTTTCTTAAGCAAAAACAAATTCTAGTAAAACTGAATTTTACTAGAAAAAGGCAAGAAATAAAATCAACTATCTGTCCTCAGCTGAGTTTACCTCATTTTAATTATTTCCCACTGCAACTATTTTACACCTTTTCTCCTATCTCTTTTTTCCTCATTCTTGGCCAATGGCCTTATCTTTTTTAATGAGATGCCTGAGGTCTGATATATCCTCCCTCAGCATCTGTCCTCTCCCTATACCTCCACCCATCTCCTGTCCTCTTACTCCTCTGATCTCTAAACATTCCTTCCCAAGGTCAATAACTCAACCTATATACTTGATATCATTTGTTCCAGATTCCTCCAAGATCTATCAGCCAACAGTTAACCCCCTACTCCCCAGTACTTTCTTTCTCTTCTTCTCCAAATACTCCTTTACCTCTGCCTACAAATATGCTTACTTTTTTCAATTTAAAGAGAAAAGAAAAAAGTCTTCCCTTGACCCTAGTGATCCTATAGCTAACATTTCATCTCTATCCTCCCATTCATCTCCTAAATCCTTGAAAGAGTAGTCTGTGTTGGAAAGTTTATTCTTTAAAATGTACCTATTCTTTAACTTCTTGGATTAGTTCACCCACATCATAGTATTAAAACTATCTTCTTAAAGGCCATCAGTGACCTCAAAACCACCAAACCTAGTGGAGTCTTTTCTTAACCTTCATCTGTCTTCTCCTCTGGAGAGTGGACCATATGATGCTACTGACTAGCCTCTCACTGAAATTCTTTCATCTCTTGGTTTCCAGATCAGGTGCTGATTTAGAAAGCAAACACGAGAGTCAGCATCCAAACCTACAAAATGGCTAATATTATTTCCCTCACTAATAAGATACAGGAAAATAAGCAACAGACTCACCAAGTCTGTCCTGAGTGCGGAATTAAGCACAAAGAATCTTACCTACCTGGTAAGGTCAGGAATAGTATATATAATCTTGGCATTGAGAATGTAAGCCTCTGATCCCTCATATCATTCTGTGGATTATCAGTCCTAACAGCTTCTGTGATGATTCAATAGAAAGAACAATGGAATTAATTTGAGTTAGAGCGTTACTATAACCATGGAGTACAGAAGAGTCTGCAAGGACAATGAAAACCACAGTAGTTGGAGTAAAACAAGATCACACACCTCAAGAGAGACTTCCTAATAATATGCTGTCCTGATTTCTTTCTCCCTGATTTGACCACTTCTGCCACCTTCTTTTCTTCTATTCAAACTCAAAAATGTGTGTATTTCTCAAAGCACACATTTCTTTTCAGTCTTTTCTTCCTGTCCCTTTCTCTTCTTTGCAATTCTCATATGCCCCTACACATTCATCTCAAACACTTAATACATCTTCTTAATTTCCCAAATCAGCTCCTCTTCCTAATTTTCTTCTTTCTGTTAATGGTACAACCAGTGCCCTAGTTACTCAGATGCAAATATTGTTCCAATTCTCTTATCCCTCACTTCCCACATACAATCATGGCTCAGTTCTACCGATTCTGTCTACCAGATGCTTCACTTTTCTTTTCCGTCTCCACTGCCACACCTTATGTTAGGCCTTATTCTCTCTCACCTGGGCCTCTGCAATGGCCCCTTAATTTTAATTCTTGATTCTAACCTCTCCCGACTCCACTATATCCTTCCCATTAATCATTCTAAAGCACAGCTACTAGCTCCTACCAAGCCCTTGCTAAAAAGTCTTCATGGACTCCCCACTGCTAGAGAATAAAGTTCAAATCTTCATTCTCATTTTTAAAACCCTCCATGACCTGGCTCTAAGCTTTACTTGCCATTTTATCTCCCACCATTCTCCTCTATAAAAGTTATACTTCACCCTAAATCAGGCTTCCTGTTCCCAAATATCCCCTACATCTCCACCTCTGCTCCATCTTTGCCCATGCTGTTTTCTTTGTCAAAAGCCTAACTCCTACCCCAATCCCATCTTAATCTGTCCAAATTCAACACACACCATAATGTCCAGTTCACATCTACTTCCTTCATGAAGCACTTATGTTAATAAAAGGATTAGATCTGTCTTGTCTACACAGTCCTCTTAGATGGTTGATTCTGCTTTTTCTATAGATGTTTGAATATTTATATTCTACCTCTTCCTAGATAAGTTCTCTGAGGACAGAAGTAATATCCATTTTGCTCTTTCTGCAATGCTTAGCATAGTGTTCTGTACTAGACAGGACTAGAATATATGTAAGTCTCACAAAACAGCTAATGTAATTACAGGCATTCAGTTTAAGATGCCAAAGAATGTCTGATTCAGAAGTAGTAAGCATTTATTAAAAAAAAAACAAAAAAACTAAACTAAACTAAACTAAAAAACTTTTTTCCTTTGCTTTTAGAATCCTCTAAGAGTTCTGAAGTTGCACTCTGCCAATAATCTCTTATATGTCATGTTCCTGACAATATTAGATACTAATATTTTCAACTAGTTCTATTTCTTAAAGAGCTTCTTTCCCTCTTCCTTCTCCTTTTCCTCCCCCTCCTACTACTCCTACTTCCGGCCAGTTTTTCAGAGGACATCCTTACTTCACTTCATTAAGTTTAAAACAAGGTGTGATGTCACTTACTTTTTTTTTTTTCCTTGAAGAAAGCAGCTATAGCATCTGTCCTTCCTCAAAAGATGTTTTTGGACAGGCCAAACTTCAAGATGTCATTTAGGAATAAGTTTAGACCACAGGATGCACATCTATTGCAATGATATGTTACTAATCTTTACAAGCAAACTGGCTCTGTTCATGTACATTGTCAGAGTGTATGGCAAGGTTTAATATCACTTCTTCCCATATATCTGTCCGTTCATTAATATTGCAGAAACGCTTCATTTACTCTTCCACACATAGATTTTATTACTGCTTAAAATCTCACACTGGTATGTACTTTGTATTGACAATGACACTTCAAAATAGCTTATTATAGTTCAAAAGTTTGGACAACTGTTTCTAACTTCCAGTTATCTTTTTTTTTTTCTATAAATGAAGCCAGTGAGCATTTTCTACATATGGTTTGTGTAACAATTGGTTACCTGAGGAGATGACTGTTGAATCTTTTGTGACAATACTGTTGCTAACATAAGCAAGAAAAATTAAAGAAATTCTGGAATTAGAGTGGAAAAAGTGACTAATCTTCACTGGAAACAGTGACTTAGACTTCATTCTGGTCTTCATTTGTCCCACCGAAGAATTTTTTGTATTAGTTTGATGGTTCTAATAGCATTTGGAAATATCTACTGCTTTTTCAACATTTGTGAGTCACATGGGGTTATTTACGCAAAATAACAGGAGGTCCAGGAATGTTTCCATATGCTAGAAAATGATTTCATCAGTCTAATAAGGCAGAAGAAAAAATGTGATTGATTTTGCAAATAAACACTAAGCCATAGGAGGTTTCTTCAAGGTTAACTTTAACAACTTTGCAGCCACATCAGATCACCTCATAAAATAACAGAATAGTATGAAGTCAGTTATGATTTATATGTTATAAAAACATGTGGTATGGTTAAAGTACAATTTAATATTCTAAATTCAGATAAACCTGAACTTTCACCTATTGATAAAGCAGTAATCTTTCTGCCTACTCTCTTGTGACTCTTGGGATCATATAATCAAAAAAAGGCAAGTTCCAACTTTGTAACTTAAAAACTTTTAACTATACTGTTACTCTTCTGCTTAAGCCTTTTAAACTGGGAAGACGATAAGCTGTAGGAAAAAATGGGTACTACATTAAAGTCTAAAGGCAGTTGCCTTATTTTGGTTAATAAACCATTTAATGTTTAATTTCTGCTCTGAAAAAGCTCATAAAAATTTAACTTGACAATGGCAAACTATCACAGAAGAAAGAGGAAGACTCAAAGCCCATTAACAATAAAATGATATTATTATTACACCCAATTGCAGACCCAATGAGTGACAGTATATTTCAATGGATACAAAACTACAGGCACCAACTACGTACAGGCATACCTCACCTGTACTTCACATATATTGTGGTCTTTTACACATTCAGGGTTTGTGGCAACCATGCACTGAGCAAGTCTATGACTGCCATTTTTCCAATAGCATGTGCTCATTTCATGTCCGTGTCACATTTTGCTTATTCTCACAATATTTCAAACTTTTTCATTATTGTCATACCTGTTATGATGATCTGTGATCAGCAATCTTTGATATTACTATTAAGGTACCACCAACCACACTCCTGTACGATGTCAAACCTAATAGATAAGTCTATGTGTTCTGACTGTTCCACCAGGACAGCCATTCTCCTGTCTTGCTGCCTGCCTTTGGGCTCCCTATTCCCTGAGACATAAAAATATGAAAATTAGTCCATTTAATAACTCTACATTTCTCTGAATCACGTTAGACAAAAAAATGGAAAAAAAATGAAATAACCATAAAATGGCCCCTAAATGTTCAAGAAAGAGGAACAGTCACACATCTCTCACTTTAAATCAAAAGCTAGAAATAATTAAGATTAATGAGGAAGACGTATCAAAAGCTGAATCAGGGCAAAAACTAGGCCTCTTGCACCAAATAGCCAAGCTGTGAATACAAACAAAAAAATTCTTGAAGGAAATTAAATGTGCTGCTACCCCAGTGAACACACAAATGCTAACAAAGCAAAACAGTCTTATTGCTGATAAGAAGACCAAATGTCTGGATAGAAGACCAAACCAGCCACAACATTACCTTAAGGCCAAAGCCTAATCCAGAGCAAGGCCCTAACTCTCTTCAATTCTGTGAAGGCTGAGAGAGGAAAGAAAGCTATAAAAGAAAAGTTGGAAGCTAGCAAAGGTTGCTTCATGAGGTATAAGGAAAGAAGCCATTCCATAAAGGTGCAAGCAAAGCACCAAGTGTGGATGTAGATGCTGCAGCAAGTTATCCAGAAGATCTCCCTAAGATCACTGATGAAGGTGGCTATCCTGAACGACAGATTTTCCATACAGATAAAACAGCCTCACACTAGGTGGGGGGAAAATGCCACCTCAGACTTTCATAGCTGGAGAGCAGAAGTCAGTGCCTGGTTTCAAAACTTCAAAGGATAGGCTGACTCTCTCGGTAGAGGCTAATGCAGTTGGCAACTTTCTAAGTTGAAGCCAGTACTCACTGGCCATTCTCTGAAAATCCTAGGGCCCCCAAAAGTTATGCTAAATCTACTCGGCCTGTGGTCTAGAAATGGAACAATAAGGTCTGGATGACAGGACATCTGTTTATAGCATGGTTTACTGAATATTTTAAGCCCGCTGTTAAGACCTACTGCTCAGAAGAAAAGATTCTTTTCAAAATATTTTGAAAAGAATTCATTGACAACGCCCCTGGCCACCCAAGAGCTCTGCTGGAGATGTACAAGGAGATTAATGTTGTTTTCATGCCTCTTAACACAGCCATCCATTCTGCAGCCCATGGATCAAGGAATAATTTCAACTTTCAAGTTTCACTATTTAAGACATACATTTCGTAATGCTATTTCTGCCATAGATTGTGATTCTTCTGATGGATCTGGATAAAGAAAATTGAAATTCTTCTGGAAAGAATTTACCATTCTAGATGCCATTAAGAGTATTTCTGATTAATGGTAGGAGGTCAAAATACCAACATTGACAGGAGCGAAGAAGATTCCAACCCTCATGGACTACTTTGAAGGTTTTAAGACTTCAGTGGAGGAAATAACTGTAGATGTGATACAAATAGCAAGAGAACTCAAATTAGAAGTGGAGCCTAAAGATGTGACTGAATTG
Source organism: Homo sapiens (assembly GCF_000001405.40). NCBI lineage: Eukaryota > Metazoa > Chordata > Mammalia > Primates > Hominidae > Homo > Homo sapiens. Next base: position 67,949,447 of record NC_000014.9, on the reverse strand, counting down.
TTACAATCTCATGACCAAACTTGAACAGATGAGGGATAAGGTATGAGCAAAGAAATTATTTTCTTGAGAGGGAAACTATTCCGGGTGATGATGCTAATAACATTGTTGAAATGACAACAAAGGATTTAGAATATTTCATAAATTTAGTTGATAAAGCAGTGGCAGGGTTTCAGAGGACTGATCCCAATATTAAAAGAAGTTCTACTGTGAGTAAAATGCTATCAAGTAGCATGATATGCTACAGAGAAATCTTTCATGAAAGGAAGAGTCAATTGATTCAAGCATCATTCAATGAACTTTATTGCTGTCTTATTTTAATAAACTGATACAGCCACCCCAACTTTTAGCAACCACGACCCTGATCAGTCAGCAGCTATCAACATTGAGAGGGGACCCTCCACCAGCAAAAAGCTTATGACTCACTGAAGGCTCAGATGATCACTAGCATTTTTAGCAATAAAAACTTTTAAATTAAGGTATGTACATTGCTTTTTTTTTTTTTTTTTTTTTTTTTTTGAGACAGAGTCTCACTCTGTCACCCAGGCTGGAATGCAGCGGCGTGATCTCAGCTCACTGCAAGCTCCGCCTCCCAGGTTCACACCATTCTCCTGCCTCAGCCTCCCAAGTAGATGGGACTACAGGCGCCCACAACCATGCCCGGCTAATTTTTTTGTATTTTTAGTAGAAACGGGGTTTCACCATGTTAGCCAGGATGGTCTCGATCTCCTGACCTTGTGATCTGCCTGCCTCAGCCTCCCAAAGTGCTGGGATTACAGGAGTGAGCCACCGTGCCCGGCCTATATATTGCTTTTTTGACATAATATTATTGCACACTTAATAGACTACAATGTAGTATAAACATAACTTTTATATGAATTGGGAAACCAAAAAAAATGTATCACTCACATTATTGCAATAGTTACTTTATTGTGATGGTCTGACACGGAACCCACCATATCTACAAGGTATGGCTGTATACTGTAAGCAAATTTGCTACCAAAACCAAAATATTTATAACAGTGCTGCTGGGTTGCATATATCTCCAGACCCCAATTCCTGTTGCAAGTATTTCTACTCTGTCCCAGAAGACATCCAGAGTTCACTGTATATTTGTAGGAAATAGGGAGGCAGCATTTCTACAACCAGAGAAGTTCAAAATGTCTCCTCTCTGAACTTAATCACATCTGATCCTACAACCAAGCAAGCCACTGGCTGTAGGATCACCTCTCACTCTTAGGAGAGTCCATCTTAAAATATATATTCCTGTGGACCATAACAAATTACTCTGAGCCTATGTATATCCAGACTCTAGTATGCAATAGGAACACTAACATATAACTATATATTCAATTTCGTACTTTATATACAACTCCACAAGACAGATTTTTTCCTTAACAAATAGAACTATTTACCTAATTTTGCCACAGTAGCTATACTTCTTTTTGATCAGCATTCATTTCTGAAAAACATCTTCTTTCCTATAGTTGTAAATGTTTTGCTGACTCAAGAAGACATGAAGATAAATGGGCTATGTAAAGTTTTCCTCTAAAGTAGGAGAGTAGAAAGTGTTTCTTAAATATCTAATTGAAAACACTACCTTTTAGGCTGCAGATTTTTCCATTATAATATATACATCAGAACACAAAGCAACTTAAGTGCTAAACATTAGGAATTTTCTGACAGATGAAGATAAGTTTTTTTTGTTTTTTAGGACCAAATATTAGTCTTTCTACAAAAACACCTAAAGCCTGAATGTTCTTAAGTCATCTCCCAAGTCATTTGCTTCAAACAAAACAGTCTCCTTCCAAGAAAGATCTGTATTTTAACCAATACTTCTAGGGGAGTCACATTACTGATGAAATAAGAAATTATGAATATAAAAACAACTCTTTTTGGAAGCTAAAGAAAGACAAAGAAGAAAACATAGACAGATGACAACAAATATTTAATGAAATGCCTTCCATGGGTCAGACATTAAAATGGGAGCTAAGGACACAAGGTAAACCGAACACAGTCCCTACCCTCATGAAATTTATAATTGATGTAATGCCATCATTATATTTTTCTCACATCAAAAGAGCGATTTATATTGCCATCAATCCATGAATGAAAGCTAAACATGCCTTACAGGAAACTATTTCCTAACCCCCGGAATAATCTGCTTCTCTAAACAAGAAGCTAATCAACTGGACCTTCCCATTCCTCTTTGTCTTTGGGTAATTTTACTATTTATGCTTTATACTGTACATTAAGTCATGGGGATATAAAATATAGATGTTTATTAATGATGATGATAATGGTAATAGCAATAGTTAATATTTAATAAGCACGTGTTAAGTTCAGGGCACAGCACTAGACATGTTACATTTACTATATGGTCTAATCCTCACCACAACCCTATCTGATAGGTATTATTATTATGTATAACAGGGCTACTATTAAAAGATTACTATTTTATCAAATATATTAGATCAAAATAAGGGACTTAAATATATCAAATTAAGAAATCTAATTTTACTTCTTTATTCTTCTATCTAGAACCATAGTTAACAACTTAATCAGAAATATATAAATGCAAGTTTAAGTTATAACTATCCTGTTCCTCAGGAGAACATATGCAAAGCTTAGAATATGGCAGAAGATAGGGAAGACAGAAGTAGTATATCCATACCTTCTCTCCTTAAACCTGTGTGTTTTGTTTGTTTTAAAAAAGCACAATATCCATTTGTATGATCATATTGCTTATATCAAAGACTTTTGTTTTCTCTAAAAGAACTCTTTTGGCCAAGTGCAGTGGCTCACACCTGTAATCCCAACACTTTGGGAGGCCGAGGCGGGTGGATCACGAGGTCAGGAGTTCAAGACCAGCCTGGCCAAGATGGTGAAACCATGTCTCTACTAAAAATACAAAAATCAGCTGGGCATGGTGGCGAGTGCCTGTAGCCCCAGCTACTTGAGAGGCTGAAGCAGAGAACTGCTTGAACTGGGGAGGCGGAGGTTGCAGTGAGCCGAGATTGCACCACTGCACTCCAGCCTAGGTAACAGTGAGACTCCATCTCAAAACAAAAAACAACAACAACAACAACAACAAAAAAGAGGAACTATTTTAACCAGGGATGAAATTTAAAATTTAGAAATTAATTTCTTTAGCTATTTATTCCACGAAGAGACATAACAACTTTTCCCCCTTTCCTATTACTTTCTATTTCATTTTTCAAAAATAATCATTTATCTGATTAAAAGTTGAATTAGAAAAAAGTATTTTCAAATTCCCCGAAAGGTATCCCTCATTTCAAAACAGAATATATCACTAAGAGCTGAGAGTTCCAAAACTCTATTTTGGGATTTTCAAATCCCAAATTCACTCCACATCTCAAGATTACAGTTCTTAAAAGGAACCCAAACAGCCCTTCCTCTAAGATGCCTATTTGAGAAGACAGTTATCTTTCCACAATCCTGAACTGGAGTGACTTTTGAACACCCCTTTTGATAAAGTCTAGTTACAACCACTTTTAACCTTTTAAGGGTTATGAAACTCACTGAGAAATTTGTGCAGACTATGGACTTTCTTCCCAGAATAATTCTAAGTACATACACATAAAATTTTATATAATTTTAGACATTCCATACACTTACTGAAACCCAATCATGGACCTCAATTTAAAACTCTTGGTCTGGGCTGGGCATGGTAGCTCATGCCTGTAATCCCAGCACTTTGGGAGGCTGAGGCGGGTGGATCAACTGAGGTCAGGAGTTCGAAACCAGCCTGGCCAACATGACGAAACCCCATCTCTACTAAAAATACAAAAATTAGCTGGGCGTGGTGGCGTGTGCCTGTAATCCCAGCTACTCGGGAGGCTGAGGCACGAGAATCGCTTGAACCCGGGAGGAGAGATTGCGCCACTGCACTCCAGTCTGGGCGACAAAGCAACACTTCGTCACAAAAAACAAACAAACAAAAAACAACTCTTGGTCTGTTTTCTCACCAATCACATACCCATAAATATCATGAGAACTTGGTATTGTGTGAAAATAATAAAGTGAAGCTTTCTGAAGAAAAATCAATTCAAAGATTTTTGACAATTAATGTCCCAAGATGAAAGGGGTACTTGGCAATTTGGGGTATCACTAAGCTGGCTGTACTCTAAAAGATCTCACCAAATGGCACTAGAGAAGCCAATTAGAAGTTAACATGGTCTTAGGCTGTACACAAACCACATTAATCTCTCAGACTTCCACTGCTAACTAACACCTTCTTGCTTTAGATATTTTAATACCATTTAATCAGTGGAAAATTTTGACATTATAGTATAGCCAGATTTTCCTTACTCTTCCTGATTCTTATCTAGAAGACAGTTTAGTTACTCATTGTAGCCAAAGGAGGTCTTGCCTTTCCCTTGGCTACAGGGAGTACAACTAAAACAAATATTTTAATACAGTAATATATTCAAGGTAGGTATGATTCTTACTTTCTTTTTGGTGAAAGGGCTCTCTGGCTTATCCAACAATCACAATGATTCAAATTCATCTTCATGACCCACTCTCAATCCAGCAGATTTCAAAAAATGTCTGTGGGGTATCTAATAACTGTAAGGTCCATAAGGGCAGGGTCCAGGTCAGCTTTGGACACTATAGTATTTCCAGTGGTTAGCTTGCCTGGCACACAGTAAGTGCTCAAAAAATACAACTTTAATATGCTGGCGAAACTCTTGCAGCAACTACTAGTTCAACCACTAGGTATGTGAGCTTGGCAAGTTACTAAGTATCTCTGATATAGTTTATTTACCTAGAAAAGTGAATAATAAAATTCATACAATTAGTACTAAGATTAAATAAGATCAAGTACATAAACACACTACGGTAGTATCAAAAACACTATGTTACTCTTTAATGTAAACCTGTATTTTTAAGGCCTATTAAAATATAGCTGAATTTTAAAATATGACATTATAGTCATATTGATATGGTTCAAATTAACTTTACAACCACGTTTTTATGAAACAACAAAGGGCCAAAAAAGCTAGGAGCAAAAATATTAAAATACAGAGACAAAGACAGCTAAAACAAACAAACAAAACCCTCATAAATAAGGCAATGTTTTGAAAGAAAATAACTTCCTTATATATTTGTGGCTTAAAACAACTAATACTTTCCAAGTGACAAAGCTGGCACAAACATAGCAACAGGGAGATTTAGTTTTCCTAAAATTATTCTCCAGCTCTGTCAAAAAAAAAAAAAAAAAAAAATCTTTACTTCTTAGAGGCACGTACTCTAAGATGAAATTGTCTTGGTGGTACAAAAGAGCCCATTAAAATGTGCTTTAGTTTTCTTCCCACTCCATGCCCCCACTCCCCCTGGCTGTACTGTTTTCTTTAAAAACTAAGTCCTACAGCGCCATCTACTGTGTCTGTTCAGATCACATCATTTTTGCTGGTTTTATCCCAGAGTGCTGAAGAAATGAGAAATGTAGCAAATTCAGAATCCGTCACTTTATACAATATACTTAGATGTAAATACCTACACTATCTATATCTATACCTATATCTATATCTATATCTCCACCCACATGCTAGTATCTGAGCAACAATTTTACCCGCTTTCTTTCCACTTTCTTCTTAAGTAGGCCCTAACTCATTATAACCCACGTGTCACAATAGGAACCAAAATGTTTACCTCTATACATTAGAGGGGAGAAGTACAGTCATAATAATAACAAACTTTTATTGAGGGCTTACCATATGTCAAATAGTGTTCTGAGTACTTAATCAATATGCCACCATGCAAATAAAAGCAAGCATCTTGAGGAAAAGAGCTATGATTCACTGTTCTTTTAAAATAAATGAATGTCAACTCCAGAGCCAACCGTTAAAAATAACTTAATTAAATAAATGGATGGATGGATGGAGGGATGGGTGGAATAATAGATAGATGGATGGATATAGATGGCCAGCCCACAGCTCCTGTGATAGTGCCTATCGTATTTTTTATCCCACAGGGTCTTTTTCTTTACAAAAATGTAGGCTTTAGTCAGAAAAATTCAACACATTAGGGAAATCTCCAGTTAATTCAAAACCTCCTTCTTCCTCCCTAAGTGTATATTTAGGGAGCATAAAGAAAACATTTTAAAAAGGTCACTTATAAACATGGTTTGTCTCCAATATAATAAAATGTGTATTAGTACAAGCCCTGTAACTTACATATCTAAATAAGTGATGTTTGTGAAATCTATCAACCAAGAACTTAATCTAACACTATTAGTACACAAACATTTTTGCAATTTCTCATTGGTAATGTCCTTTAGAATCACTTTTGAAAGCAATAAAAGAAAATAAGTTTTACTACTTTATATTTCATTTAATATATTTAATATATTTAAATCTATTACTTAGTTTGACCACCCATCTTATTTATCACACTTGGCTTTAAGTGACAGTTGACTGTTTCAAAATTCAAAACAGCCTGCAAAATAAAGACCTGCCACCACAGAAAACTGACAAAAGAACGTACCAAGAAAGGAGCATGCATAAAATGGGTATATAATCTTCTATGACCATTTCGAGAGAAACAACACCTATTTAGATATACTACTGCTGACATTTAAAAAGAAATTCAGACATCATATTTTTAAGTCACTGAACTTTATAATTGCAACTATTCCCATAATAGTTTTCATTTGCTATATGTATAAATGTTCTTTGTCTTAAGTCTTCCTTTCATGAAACTATAGACTCCGTAATCTTCCTTTTGGAAGATTTGGCAGGCTTTGTAACTTCAACGTATTGACGTTACTCCTGCTACTTCACGTAAACCTTCACTTTAAGTTCAGTGTGTCTGCCACCATATTTCTCAATTCTTCTACTATTCCAAATACTCTGAAGAAGCTTCCCAGAAATCCTTGTTTGGATCAGCAAAAACAATTTGGTGTCATCAGCAGATTTCACCATTTCCTTCTGGAGTCATTAAAACACTAAACAAGCATGATCTTGGTATCAATCCTTAGGGTTCCTATCATTAACCTCTCTCTAGCTGAAGTCAAGCTATTCTCTGCTACATTGTGATTTCCATAATAGGACTAGGATATGTTTATTTGTTAGAAGTTTAAACATTGATGGATTTTTTTAATGAAAGTTGCAAAATGCATTACGAAAGTAAAGAGGAAAAAATCTCAAAAGGAAAGTTCAGAGAAATCAGCAAAGAGAAGCAGCTCCTAGTTAGTTGTCTCATCCAAGCACACTGCCTCATATTTAACTGATTCTTAAACCTCTACAGGATTTTAACCTTTCCCCTCCAATTACTTATTTCTGTTATAATTATATGAGAGACTTTATTAAACACACTTGAAAATTCTCTATGAATTATAACCAGCAGGTCCAACTACTTTATTAGCTTTTCCTCTCTTTACTACATTTAAAGAGAGAAAAGCAAACAGTCCTTACCCAGAAAGTAAAAAAGCAAACAGTTTTCTACCCAAACTGGTCTGTACTCTGAACAAGAGAAATCACTCTTTCTTTTATTCAAGTGCAAATCTGTTTGAAGCTTTCATTCTGCTTTCCCAGCCTGCTCTCTGCAGCTGCATAAAAGATGAGACATGGGAATGAAAGAAAACTAGGCTGGGGCCAAAAAGCAATACTGTCCATATGCAAACTCACTCAAAGAGCAGGAGTTTCTGTACATCCTTTCCCACTTTTTCCACTTTAGCAGACCCCTAGCCAAAAGGAGGAGGTACTGTGCTATATCTCTATGTCCAATCCTGTTTAAAACAACTTCTCATGTGAAATCAGGGGAAGGATAAGGTTACTAAACCCCCAGTCCTGACACAGAGCCCGAGGCATTCTCAGAGTCAACTTTAGCTCTAAGCTGGCTGTAATTAGGCAAGTTTAAGAGAGAAATAGGGACAGTCTCACAGGTCTCTTAGAATGCTTGTGGCAGAGGCATAGCAACAGTGAGCAGAATTCACTTTACCTATTTTACCCCATGCAAAATTAGAGCAAAATCCTCCCCCTAAGCCAAAAAGCAAAATCTTCCCCCTATGCCAAATCTGCAATAGACTTTCAGAATGTCTGGAAACCCATTAGTCTACATGCAAGGGTGTCAGGTAACCTTATAATCCCAGCATTCTCCTCAGGCCAGCAGTGAACCACACACAATTGAAAAAGTTCACCACCTCAAAAACAAACTCTGCTGGGATCAGAAGGGTATTCTCAAGGGTTTTGACTCAGATGTCATCATAACTCCGTGTTATTTTTAATGCTGTTTTTTTGGATTTTGCCTCACACAGAATTCCCAAGTTACAGAAGGACCATGAACAATGTCCAGATGTATAAAATGCAAAAATACTTCCCTCCTACTTGTGGATTCCAAGATAAACACCACAAGAAGCACATGTGACTAAACTAAGAGCTCATTCCAAATTAAATACTGCATCATGTGCACAGTTTAGGGCTTAAAAAACAAACCCCACAAATATTCTGCACGGTTCATAAGCCAGGCCTGGGCAAGCATATGACCACGTTGTAAGAAGGAAACATGAATTGGAGAGTAGAGGTAAAGGGTGAAAAAAGTCTGAGTCAAAACCTTTCCCAGAAAATTGGTGCTTTCAGCGAACATTTGTATAATATGGGACATAGATGAAAGAAGAAATTGTATTTTTCTGTGTTTTTTTTTTCCTACTGATACTATCATTTCTAAAACTGCCCAACAAATTGGGAAACTCTGCAAAGATTTCAAAATCCCCAGCCTAAGCCAAGCACAAACATCATTAAATACAGATACAAACACACACACTGAGGTAATGAGAACTTATATCTCTGACTGACCAGTCCAGACAGAATCCTTTGACATAATAAGCTGAGTTCTGGACAGAGTACATGGAACCTTATGGGACACAAACAGGAGAGTCAGGCAATGTGAAAAGACTTCTACACTATTGTTATTGTGTTTCCAAAAAAAGTAAAAAATAGATGGATAAAGTGGAAAGACAACAGAGAGATAGTTTGGCTAGCTGGGTGAGTTCAGTTTTTCTCCCACAACTTAACCTAAGCAAAAGCTTTTAAGAAATTCAGACTGGGAAGGCTGGGTGCGGTGGCTCACGCCTGTAATCCCAGCACTTTTGGGAGGCCAAGGCAGGTGGTGGATCACCTGAGGTCAGGAGTTCAAGACCAACCTGACCAACATGGCGAAACCCCATCTCTACTAAAAATACAAAAATTAGCCAGGTGCAGTGGCAGGCACCTGTGATCCCAGCTACTTGGGAGGCTGAGACACGAGAATAGCTTGAACCTGGGAGGCAGAGGTTGCAGTGAGCTGAGATCACGCCATTGCACTCCAGGCTGGGCAACAGAGTGAGATTCCATCTCAAAAAAAAAAAAAAAAAAAAAAAAAAAAAAAAAAAAATATATATATATATATATATATATATATATATGCATCTATCAAATGTTACAGTTTTATATATATACTTTTTATTTTTTTATATATATATAATGTATGTTATGAGGCATAATTACAGAATATATACCTAATGAACCCAGCACCTAATTTATGAATTAAAATATTTCCAATCTGCTATGGACTAAATGTTTGTGTCCTCCCAAAATTAATGTATTAAAACCCTAATCCCCAATGTAATGGTATTTAGACCTAGGGCCTTTAGGGAGGTAATTAGGGTTCGATTAAGTCTTGAAGCTGGAGTCCCTGTGATGGGAACAGCCATGTGAAGACATAATTAGGAAGAGGGCACCCAACCATGCTTCCACCCTGATCTCAGACTTCCAGCCTTCAGAACTGTGAGAAATAAATGTTTGTTATTTGAGCTACCTAATCTATGGTAATTTGCTACAGCAGCCCAAGCTAACTAAAAACACAATCCCAGTGAAGCTATACATGGGCCCCTACCGAAAGCCATCTACCTGCCTCCCTGCAATGATCATCACTATTCTGAATTGTGCATTTTTTTCACTCTTGCCTTTTTTTAAAGAAGTTCTTAACATAACTCTTGGAATTTTCTTTCTTAAAAGGAATCAAGCATTTCACTTACTACTGTCAATTTTCTATATACTATCTAGTTTATGCAAGGATCTATACAAAAGCATGCACAATTTGGCTTCCACCTTTTTAAAGCTCACATCCTAGAGTAAGATGACACATATTACATATTGGGTATCTACATGTATTTAAAATGAATTTGGTATTCCCTTTTTTGCTCCTGTTTGTATGTGTTTCCACATGGAGGGGGGCAGGGGCGGGGAAGAGTAAAGCCTTTATCTAATATATCAGAAAAAAATATCTGCCTGTATGTCTGTCTTCCCCCTAATATAAGTACCTCAAGATATGAAATTATTTCTTACTTGCTCTAATTTCCCGGTACCTAGCAGAGTGCTAAATGTCAAATGATTATTTTTCAACTAGTCTCTCAAATTAGAGCCCAGACACTTTAAATGTTTCACAGTCAGAGCTGGTCAACAACAACAACAAATATTGTTCTTTTGATCAGTATTTTTCTTACATAACAGATCTCTTCCTTTCTCAGGCCCAAGTTTACCAATTATCTCCCTAGATGGCAAATCAGTATAAGTCACTACTTCACTTCCTCAGCCACTAAATAAAAATCTTAGGTAGCAATGAAATTGTCAAGTGAGACCATTTTCTCAAGAGTCATACAGTGCTAAGGAGTCCGTCTGGGCAAGCACACTGTCACGCACACAAGTTTAATTCAATAGTATTTGAGCTATTCTCAACCACAGATGCCAATATGACATTGAGACATCAACTGTTTTCTACTGAAATACAGCATCATCTACAAAGCAAACTATACACAAAATGACTGAGAAGCCCCTACTATTTCACAGCAAGGAGTTTCACAACCACCTTAACATATCTTTATATTATGTATGGAACACAATTCTCTTGGGGGCTATGTTCTAAAGGATAGGCCTACGCCCTCAATTATGTCGCCATTATGCAATATGCTCATGATTACAAATTAGTCCCTCCACTTGAAGGAGCAATACTGACAATTACTGTCACTTCAAAATCGAAATTAAGTTGTATGGCTCCGTCAAAAGTATTATTTGTTAGAAAACTTTCCTGACTCATCTCTTGATTCTGCTCAATGCACAAGATTATCTAAAATCTCTCTCTGGGTGTGGAGAGGAACCAGGAGAGAAAGTGCCTGAAGAATTTAAGCCAGTCACAAGACATCAACATAAAGAATCTTTCTGAAGGGAGAACTGCATTGTTATTCCAGAAGGCTTAACAGTTACACTTTAGGAAGCAAAGCTTAGAGAACTATTCACATAAATGTTATTAGTCTGGAATTAGTTCTCACACTGTAAAAAATGAAAATTTAAAAACTGAAACACACTGGAGCACATGCCAGGCTTCTTTACAAAATCCACAGCTTTTCACATAATCCAGCTGAAAAGCCTCGGTCAAGAATCCATATGGATTTTGATAAGTCATTCTATAGAAAAACCTTGAGAAGGTAGACACCTTTCTCAGAAGGCCATCGGTGCACTATTTCAAACCCCTAATGCAAAAAAAGAAAAAAAAAAGTTACTTACCTGTGCCTGTAACTTGCCAGATATGCCCATTTCTTAATGTAACTCAGCTTTAAAGTCCACTTTTAAAATACCCTCACTATTACCATTGTATTTCAATATCAACCTGAAGCTGTGGTAAGGGGCTGAAGAAGGATTTCAAATGGAATACTGGGAGAGATGGACCAATGAGACAGACAAGTGGCCACAACCATCCCAGCGTGTTACTCTATGTTCATCAACACAGTCTACCTGCTCAATTCCTAATGGGGAGCACCTCCATTCATACTGTGTCAAAGACACACTTCATTTTCTCTACCTGCCTTCCCCTTACCACCTAAATATGAGTTTTTCTTGCCAATGGGTTACTCCCACTATACCTAGAGTAAAAGAAAGAAACAGCCTGCGGCACATGATGTTAATCAACTGAGAGGAGATTTCTCTGGTGGTGATTTGACAAAAGTAGAATTATCGTCATCTCTGCTAGAACCGGTTGGTTTTATTTCTAGCTATATCTCTAACAGTATATCTTACCTGAGACACCAAAGGAAACAACTATTCTTTTCTCACTACCCCAATCCCTATCATTTCTCTAACTAGCTTGTAACTGGGATATCACAAAGACAGGAAGAAGGTGTGTCATGTGCTGTAGGACATTATGTTTCACTCTGAGCAGCTTCTGTTCTTTTTTGGCTTCCCATAATTGTATTACATATGGATTTAGGGCTCAGCTTTGAATTTCAATAAAAGACAACTGTTATCCCCTTCATGGCACCCTACTGCAAATCCTTCTAAACTACTTTATTTCATTATGCTATAAATATTACATTTACATATATGTGTATATAACATATTTCTGCTACAAGTAAGACCATCAAGAAAGTAAAAGGACAGAATGGGAGAAAATATTTGAAAATCAAATATCTATTAAGGGTCTTGTATCCAACATATAAAATGAGCACTTTAAAATACAATAATAAAAAGACAACCCAATTACAACTGGGCAAGAGATTTAAATAGACTTTCTCCAAAAGAGATATACAAATGGTCAATAAACACTTGAAAATTCTCAACATCATCAGCCATTAGAAAATGCAAACAAAAACCACAATGACATAACCACTTCACAAGCACTACAAGGATTATTGTAATTTTTAAGAAAAAGATGACAAGTATTAGTGAGGATGTGGAGAAACTGGAACCCTAGCTCGCTGCTGGTAGGACTTTGGAAAAGTGGCTTCACAGTTCCTCAAATTATTAAACACAGAGCTGCCATATGATCCAGCAATTCTACTCCTGGGGATATAACCAAGAGAAATAAAAACATATGTCCAAACAAAAGCTTGTACATGGATGCTTATTACTGCATTATTCATAATACCCAAAATGTGAAAATAAACCAAATGTCCATCAACTGATAAATGGATAAACAAAATGAGTTCTATCTATACAACAGTATATTATTTGGCAATGAAAAGGAATGAAGAATACTGATAACATGCTGCAACACTAATTTTGAAAACTTTATGCTATATGAAAGAAGCCAGTCACAAAAGAACACACATTATATGACTCCACTTTCATGAAATGTCCATAACAGGCAAATCTATAGAGATAGCAAATAGAGATTTCCAAGGGCTTGGGGAAGGTGGAAATGCAGAGTGAGAGAGTGGCTGCTACTGGGTACAGGGTTTCTTCTTGGGGTGGTGAAATGTTTTGGAATTAGACTGTGGTGATCGTTGCACAATCTGTCAATATGCTAAAAAAAGAACCCTATATTGTGTACCTTAAAAGGGTGAATTGTATGGTATGTAAATTATATCTCAAAAAGCTGTTAAAATTTTTGTTTTTTGAAGGCTTTTTATAATGTGTCCTTTATAAGATAGACCTTTCTAAAAAGGTCTATTAATAAAATGACATCTATTTTCTAATATATATTCTTGAATATGAAAGTTCTGGCATTCAACAAACAGACGTTGGCCTACTGACATTATCCTCTGGTATAATAGAATTCCGCCATAGTGAAATCCCTCTCTGCCCACCTTTTACTACTCTACTTGACCTTGTCTCAGTTCTCATACTCATCTTTATAAGATGAAGTCCTCGGCAGGCCCTAGATCCTGAAGGAGCAAATAATAGATGTCATCAGTGCCTATTATTTTAGAAAAAAGAAACAAGAAGACTGCAGCTGGGCTACTTATCTAAGACAACGCAACAGAATCCACTTTAAAATTTAAAAGAGTTGGCCAGGGGCAGTGGCTCACACTTCTAATCCCAACACTTTGGGAGGCCAAAGCAGGAGGATCCCTTGAGGCCAGGGATTTATAACTAGCCTGGGCAACACAGCAAGATCCCCATCTCTACAAAAAAATTTTAAAATCAGCATGGCCTGATGGTATGTGCCTGTAGTCCTAGCTACATGGGATGCTGAGGCAGGAAAATCACCCAACCCCAGGAGGTGAAAGCTGCAGTGAGCTATAATCGAGCCATTGAACTCCCATTTGGGCAAGAGAGCAAGACTGTCTCTGAAAAAAAAACTTTTTTAAGAGTTGTATTTGTAGAATTGGCACTACAAATCCATCTCTAGCATACAACTGGTATATCTTCTGGTTATCTTTGAAAGTGCACCATATCTTACACTCAAAGTAATTGCCTAATCATCCTCACATATGTAAAAAAAATCTTAAAGGATGGTCTTTCTGGCATATCCAAAAATTAACTCTCTCCAAAAGGATTCCTATACAAATTTATCTTATACCAAGTACACTATAATTAGTCAGATTTATTCATTCATTTAACCAAAATTTATTGAGCACTCACCACCTGCTAAACACTGAAACTACATAAATAAATTAAATTAGAAACAGACCCTACCATAAAAGAATTCATCACTGTGGAGAAACACAAATGCCTCGTAAACAGGCAATATGATAGTGTGCTATATAGCAGAGGAGAGTATGGTGCTGTCAGGAAAGCATTCAAAGTCAGAAGCCTAAATTCTACAAAGAGCCAGGAAGGCTGTAGACTATAACCAGGAGACACCTTGCTGAGGTTTCTCATCTGATCCTACCATTCGTTCAACGTATGGACATTCCCCCCCATCAATAAGAGTCAGGGATGGAACAACATGCTCCAGATTCCTCAATAATATACACTCCCTGCCCTCAAGGGGCTAATTTTCAAAGTATGTCAACTAGAGTACTCCAGAAACTCTTTTCTCTGATAGGGGAATGAAATAGAGAATACGAAACAAATAAAACTAAAAATAAAAGGTATTATTTCATGTATTATTTAACATACTCTACAGGAAGGGGGTCAAGATTTTAAGTTGAGATATTTTAAACTCCCTTTAGCTATCAACTCTCTGAGGGTAGAAACAGCATCTCGTATCCTCAGCCAGAATTCCTAATTCCCATTAAATACGTGTCAAATAAATAAAGAAATGAAACAATGGTAAGCAACAAATGCCATAAATACCACTTTCCTGAGCTAATTACTGATGGCATTTTACTACTTCCTTCACAGTACGCCTGTTTACTTTCTCCTTTTCTCTTCTCTTGCCCTCCCACTTCTTTCCTCTCTTTTTATCTTTATCTCTTCCTTTCTCTCCTATTTGAAATCTGCATCTTAAAGACTGCCACCAGCTGCTCTCACAGGCAATTGCTTTGCTAAGTAGGCCACAAGGATCCTAGTGAGCAATGGAGTATTCACAGTTTTCTAATTAAAAGATGCCACCTAGTGGTTACAGTTCCCTTCATCCTGATTGTACCAGGAAACATGAAAGTTAAGCAGTATTAACAAATTCCAGGTCTTCTGTGGTGCCAGCTTGGTCTAACGGCAGCATCAGATACAATGAACCCATTTCCTTTCACATCTACAACCAAGCTGTCAGAAGTAACTGATGTTGATAGTCTACGAAGCTTTGTAGTCAGGTGTATATTGACTTTATTTATTGCCCTAAAGTAGACAAATTTGTTACTTCAATTCTGGTAGAATTAAAGGTATAGGCATTGCCTGACTCAGCAGGAGCATAGAGGTAGCTTCTGCTCTTCCTGAACTCCTCAGCAGAGATGTATTCAAGGTGGCTAACTAGAGAGATTGGACACTCACCCTCTCCAGAAAGAACCAAAATTACTAATATATAACCAAAATAATCACACCTATAATAGAACATCTAGAAGAGAACACTAGTGTCCAACAGGATCTAGTCACAGGAAACACCTGAGGCAAAGAAGGAGAAGGAAGCAAGTGACCAACTCAGCCAAGATCAGCTATGAGCCCCAAGGGACTCATTATCATAGGGAAGGGTAAGTGAGAGAACCTTAACAATCCATGTCCCCACTGTGGACTGCAGCAATCCAAACCATGGGAGAGCTCCTCTACCCACACAAACCCTGATACTAGCAAGGGTGGTGATCTGGAGACCCACAAGGGCATTGCACCAGACAAGGAACTCATGCTGGGTCAGTCACACCCCCAAGGCCTAAGCTGCTACTGCAGAGCACTACTGTGAGAGCACAGCTGTCATAGGACTGCATCCTGACCTGGAAATCAGAGGCCCCATATCTCCACATTCTGGGATCTCCCACTAACAACCCCAGTGTTGACTCAAATGGCTACAGCAGCATAGCACTGGCTGGACCCAAAGGTGCTCCAGGGTCCCCAGTATTCTAGCCCATGGAAAACACTACTCCTCAGGGAATGGTGCAGTGTACCAAAAAGTTACAGTGTACCAAAGGTGCATTCTACCGGAAAGGCAGCACAAATTCTGTGCTCAAGCTCACAAGTGGAAAGATCTCCTCCCCTTCTCTGCATATTGCCATAGCAGTAGCTGTCACTAGGAACCCAGATGGGTAAGCATAATAGCTGTCTGGAGCTGGAAGCAGTGACCCTGCCTGCACCAATGGAGTGGTCTCTGTGCTCAGGTTTACACATATACAACAGGAGCCTCTCTCCTCCTCTGCACACCACTACAGCCGCTGCCACTGCTGCTATTGCCAGGGGCCAGGGTGGACAAGCCGGAGGAGCTGCCTGTCTGGGGCTGTAAGTAGTAACTGTGCCCCCACTGGTGGTGTGGCCTCCATGCTTAGACTCATACGTGAACATGGGGCCCCTCCCCTCCTTGGCATAGCAGTACAGTACTGTTGCTGCCAAGAGTGGACAAGTCTAAGAGCTGTGTGTCTGGGGCTGTGGATAGTGACCCTGCATCACAGCCACCATCAACATTAGCACATACTGCTTGGGACCCAGAGGGTCTTCTCCTCACTGCTGCTGCCACTACCCACACCATACCAAATTCCCAGGGACATGAGAACTTGCTCACCTGCCCACCCCACCTCTGCCACCACCACCTCAGCATCTGAGCAAGCCACCTGGGGAGCCAAGAATTGAACCTCTTGGTCCCACTAAAACTAGTGCCACTGCACACTGTGCTGGGGCCTAAGAACAAGTATGATCAGCCCACCGCTACCACCAATAGGGCCCAAAAAGTGGCCTGCCTAGCATCCCTGTCCCACCAAACTTCACTATAAGCTCCACTAATAACCACACCATAAACCATGGAGGAAATCACAGATAACACAGATATTGTTTATAGCTAAAGAAATAATACAGAGACTACACAACTGAATGCACCCAGAATCAAAGCCAAAGAGCCCACCCAACTAGCACCATTGATACATCTCCTATGAAAGAAAATCCAAAAGCAGGAGCTAAACATTGGGTACACATGGACATAAAGATGGGAACAACAGATGCTGGAAAATACATGAGGTAGGAGGGAGGGAGGAAGACAAAGATTGAAAACTACTTATTGAATACTGTGCTCACTTCCTGGGTGACATGTTCAATTGTACTCCAAACTCCAGCATCACATAATATAACTTTGTAACAAACCTGAACATGTACCCCTAGAATCTAAAACAAAAGTTGAAGAAAAGTTAAAAATAAAAAAATAAAAAATTTGAAGAAGCAACTATTATACCAGGTGTGCAGATGTCAACACAAGGATATAGAAAACATGAAAAAGCAAAGAACTATGACACCTCCAAAGGAACATAATAATTCTCCAGCAACACATCCCAATAAAAAGAAATTCAAGAAATGCTGGGCCGGGCACTGTGATTCACGCCTATAATCCCAGCACTTTGGGAGGCCAAGGCAGATGGATCACCTGAGGTCAAGAGGTCGAGACCAGCCTGGCCAACATGGTGAAACCCATCTCTACTAAAAATACAAAAAATTAGCCAGGCGTGGTGGTGGGCACCTGTAATCCCAGCTACTCAGGAGGCTGAGGCAGGAGAATTGCTTGAACCCGGGAGGCAGAGGTTGCAGTGAGCTGAGGTTGTGCCATTGCCCTCCAGCCTGGGCAACAAGAGCAAAACTCTGTCTCAAAAAAAAAAAAAAAAAAAGAAATCCCAGAAAAAGAATTCAAAATTATGATACTAAAGAAGCCCAATGAGATACAAGAGAATTTCAAAAAACAATACAAAGAAATCAGAAAAACAATTCAGGAAATAAAGGAGCAGTTTACCACAGTGATAGAATAAAAAAGAAACAAACCAAAATTTTGGAACTGAAGAAGTCCTTGAAAAAATACAAAGTACACTCAAAAGCATCAACAATAGACTAAACCAAGCAAAAGAAAGAGTCTCAGAACCTGAAGATGGGCCTTTTGAAATAACCCAGCCAGGCAGGACGCGGTGGCTCACGCCTGTAATCCCAGCACTTTGGGAGGCCAAGGCAGGCGGATCACGAGGTCAGGCGATTGAGACCATCCTGGCTAACACGGTGAAACCCTGTCTCTAATAAAAATACAAAAAAATTAGCCAGGCGTGGTGGCAGGCTCCTGTAGTCCCAGCTACTTGGGAGGCTGAGGCAGGAGAATGGCATGAATGCAGGCGGCGGAGCTTGCAGTGAGCTGAGATCGCACCACTGCACTCCAACCTGGGCAACAGAGCGAGACTCCGTCTCAAAAAAAAGAAAAAAAAAAAAGAAATAACCCAGGCAGACCAAAAAAAAAATTGAATAAAGAATAAAAAAGAATGAACAAAGTCGTCATGATATATGGGAAACCATAAAGCAATCAAATATATAAATTATCAGTATCCTCAAAGGGAAACAGAGAACAAAAATGCTCAAAAACCTATTTAATGAAATACTAGATGAAATTTTCCCAAGTCTACCAAGAGATTTAGACATCCAGGTACAGGAAGACCAGTGATCCAATGCGAAAGGTCTTCTCCATGACACATTGTATTCAAGCTGCATAAAGTCAATGACAAGGAGAAAAGTCTTAAAGCAGCAAGAGGAAAATGTCTAGTCACCTACAAAGGAGCCTACATCAACAGGAGACTTCTCAGCAAAAACCTCACAGGCTAGGAGAGAATGGGGTTATATATTCAAAGTGCCAAAAGAAAAAAACTGCCACCCAAGGATACTATATCCAGCAAAATTATCCTTCATAAATAAAGAAGAAATAAAGTCTTTTCTAAGCAAGCAAAAGCAGATGAAATTCATCACCACTAGACTAGCTCTTCAAGAAATGCTCAAGGGAGTGGAAAAAAAAAACACACACACACACAAAGTATACACACAAAAATATAAAACTAACTGGTAAAGCAATACACAAGTGAAAAAGCCAAAAAATTCAAGTGATACCACCATAGAAAACCAGCAAACAATTAACAATATGAAGGAACAAAACCTCAATAATAACCTTGAATATTAATGGATTAAATTCTCCACTTAAAAGATACAGACTCTCTGAATTGATTTAAAAATGATCTAACTATATGCTGCCTACAATCAGTGCACTTTACCTGTGAAGACACATATAGACTCAAAGTAAATAAATGAAAAAAGATATTCCACACAAACGGAAACCAAAAGTGAGCAGAAATACCTACACTTATATCAGATAAAACAGACATTAAGTCAAAAATAATAATAAAAGACAAAGAAGCTGGGCACGATGGCTCCTGCCTGTAATCCCAGCTACTCAGAAGGCAGAGGCGGGAGGATCACTTGAGGCCAGGAGCTCAAGACTAGCCTAGAAAACATATTGAGACCCCATTTCTTAAAAAAAACAAAAAAACACAAAAAAAAAAGACACAGAAAGACAAGGTCATTATATAATGATAAAGGGATCAATCCAGCAAGAGGATATGCATAAAGCAAGTATTACTAGATCTAAAGAAAAAGACAGGCTCTAATACAATAATAGTGGGGTACTTCAACATCCCAATCTCAGCATTTAAGAGATCATCTAGACAGAAAATAAAGAAACATCAGACTTAAACGGGACTTTAGACCAAATGGACCTAACAGACATGTACAGAAAATGTTATCTAACATCTGTAGAATATACATTTTTCTCATCTGCACATAGAAAATTCTCCAGGATTTACCATATGTTAGGCTATAAAACTAATCTTTCCAAAGCTAAAATCATATCAAGTATCTTAGATCACAATGGAATAAAACTAGAAATCAATGCCAAGAGGAACTCTGAAAACTATACAAATACATGGAAATTAAACAACATGCTCCTGAGTGACCACTGGGTCAATGAAAGAATCAAGATAAAAAATTTTTTTAATTTCTTGAAACAAAGAAAATGGAAACACAACATACCAAAACCTGTGGGACATAGCAAAAGTATGTTAAGAGGGGAGTTTATAGCAATAAACACCTAAATCAGAAAAACAGAAAGATTTCAAATGAACAATCTAACCATGCACCTCAAAAAACTAAAAAGCAAGAACAAAGAAAACCAAAAATTAGCAGAAGAAAAGAAATAATAAAGATCAGAGCAGAACTAAATGAAATAGAGACTAAAAATACAATACAAAACGTTGATCATTGGAAAAGATAAACAAAATTGATAAACCGCTACCTTGACTAACCGAAAAAAGAAGAGACGTCCCAAATAAACAAACTCAGAAATGAAAAAGGAGACATTGCAGCTGACACCAGAAGTACAAAAGATCATCAGAGACTATTATGAATTATATGCTAGCAAAGTGAAAAACCTAGAGAAAATGGAGAAATTCCTGGAAACACATTAATATAGGAGTTATTAAGAAATAATTTTTAGGCAGGTAGAAAGGGTAAAGGTTCTCGGTGGAAATTTTCCTGTAAGAAGCAACCCCCAAACCATTTCTTTTCTAACAGAAAAGGCGGCTTAAAGACGGCAAGCTTTGATATGCAAATTCTGGCGATTAGAAACTAGGTCCACCCAACATGGCCAACATGGCGATTGCTGCCCTCTTCTCCTTGTCACCACAAGTACCAAGTGTCATGGCCGCCTCCAGATAACTCACACGTGTTCAGGACATCATGGTGACCCGCATTTTCATATTAAAGGACGAAGGTGGGAGGGCCAGGTTTTTCACGGGCCACATGAATGACACATCTGGTAAAACCAATCCCTGGGCTGTATGCAAATCAGACACCGCCTCCTCCAGCCTGCTAATATAACTAACTACTTTGCCACCGCACACATGGTTTCTCTCTCAGAGCCCCCCTCCCTCTGTCTCTGTATGGGGGAGCTTCTTCCTTCTTTCTTGCCTATTAAACTCTCCGCTCCTTAAAATCACTCCACATGTGTCCATGTCATTTTATCTAAATCAGCGCAAGACCAAGGACACTGGTGTTCCTCCATTCATTGGAGCCATATCAATACAATCCAACAAGATTGAATCAGGAAAAATAGAAAACCTGAACATAATGAGTATCAAGATTGAACCAGGAACAAAAAGTCTCTCAAGAAAAAAAGCCCAGTACTGAATAAAGTCACTGCTGAATTCTACCAAATGTATAAAGAAAAACTCATATCAGTCCTCCTCAAGCTATTCCAAAAAGTTAAGAGAAGGAAATTCTCCCTAACTCATTCTATGAGGCCAGCATTACCCTGATACCAAAACCAGACAAAGCTACAACAAAAAAAATACAGACCAATAACCCTGATGAAGATAAATGGAAAAGTCTTCAACAAAATACTACCAAACTAGATCCAACAGCACACCCAAAAGATAACATACCATGATCAAGTGGGATTCATTTTTTCCCAGAAATAGACAAAAAATCCTAAAATTTGTATGGAACCATAAAAGACACACACATTATATATGTGTATATATATAATATATACACACACACAATGAATATATTATATAATACACACACACACACACACACACACACATACAATGAAATACTATTCAGCCATAAAAAAGAATGAAATCATGTCATTTGAAGTGACATGGATGGAATTGGACGTCATTATGTTACGCAAAATAAGCCCAGCACAGAAAGACAAATACCACACGTTCTCATTCACATGTGGGAGCTAAAAAACTTCATCTCATGGACATAGAGAATAGATCAACAGATAACCAGAGACTCGGAAGGGTGGTTCAAGGGGAGAGGACAGGAGAAGTTGGTTGTGGGTACAAACACATAGTTAGATAGAAGAAACAAGATCTAATGTTTGATAGCAGACCACAGTGACTACACTTAGTAACAATATTATGTATATGTCAGAGTAACTAGAAGAGAGGACTTGAAATGACACCACATAAAAATGATAAGCACTCATGATGATGGAGACTTGATCATTACACATTCTATGCATGCAGCAAACTCTCACATGAACCCCATAAATATATAAAATATGACAATTAAAGAGAAAAAAACAAATATCCATATCCAAGGTATATAAGGTGTCCTATTTAAATGAGTAGCTTTCATTTAAAGTCAACAGTATATCTTATAAATAAGATTCAAGAATTATTCTACCCTGAAATACATTCATGGATATGAACCATAGTGATCTTGAGCACTGCTTAAATAACAGGAATGGGATGACTCATAGGAAATAATATCACAGTATAAAATACTTTGTAACATATCATTGGCTAAAATCTATGAGTTACTGAAGGTTTTCACAATCCATACTTACTATTATCCCTGACCTCAGGATCTGTAAATTGTCCAGTGAGCTATATAAACTGAGATTCTTTGCCCAGTGTTAAGAAAACATATCTCCGCCAGGCGTGGTGGCTCACGTCTGTAATTCCAGCACTCTGGGAGGCCGAGGCAGGCAGATCACAAAGTTGGGAGTTCGAGACCAGCCTGGCCAACATGATGAAACCCCACCCCTACTAAAAACACAAAAATTAGCTGGGTGTGGTGGCGCACGCCTGTTGTCCCAGCTACTTGGGAGGCTGAGGCAGGAGAATCGCTTGAACCCAGGAGGCGGAGGCTGCAGTGAGCCAAGATCACACCACTGCACTCCAGTGTGGCGACAGACCAAGACTCAGTCTCAAAAAAAAAAAAAAAAAAAAAAAAGGAAACATATCCCTTCAACACTGGCATGATCTGTCTATTTTAAAAGAGAAAAAAGGACTTGTTGAATGGCTTTGACAAAAATGTTGACAGTGACATGAGCAATAAGGTCCAGGCTGAGGTGGTCTCAGATAAAGATGACGAACTTGTTAACTGGAGTAAAGGTGACTCTTGCTATGTTTTAGCAAACAGACTGGCAGCATTTTGCCCCTGCCCTAGAGATTTGTGGAACTTTGAACTTAAGAGAGATGATTTTGGGTATCTGGTGTAAAAAATTTCTAAGCAGCAAAGTATTCAAGAGGTGACTTGGGTGCTGTTAAAGGCATTCAGTTTTATAAGGGAAGCAGAATATAAAAGTTTAGAAAATGTGCAGCCTGGCAATGCGATAGAAAAGAAAATCCATTTTCTGAGGAGAAATCCAAGCTGGCTGCAGAAAGTTGCATAAGTAATAAGGGGCCAAATGTTAATCCCCAAGACAATGGAAAAAATGTCTCTAAGGCATGTCAGAGGTCTTCATGGGAGCCCCTCCTACCGCAGGCCAGGAGGCCTAGGAGGAAAAAGTGGTTTCATGGGCTGGGCCCAGGGTCCCTGTGCTGTGTGCGGCCCAGGCTGTGTGCAGCCCAGGGTCTTGGTGCCCTGCATTCCAGCCACTCCAGCCATGGCTGAAAGGAGCCAATGAGAGATCAAGCCAAGGCTTCAGAGGGTGCAAGCCGCAAGCCTTGGCAGCTTCCATGCAGTGTTAAGCCTGCCAGTGCACAGAAGTCAAGAATTGGGGTTTGGGAACCTCCGCCTAGATTTCAGAAGATGTTTGGAAACATCTGGATGCCCAGGCAGAAGTTTGATGCAGGGGTAGGACTCTTATGGAGAAGAACCTCTGCAGAAAGGAAATGTGGAGTCAGAGCCCCCATACAGAGTCCCTACTGGGGAGCAGAGCCTAGTGTAGCTGTGAGAAGATGGCCACCATCCTCCAGACCCCAGAATGGTAGATCCAGGTCAAGCACAGTAGCTCATGCCTGTAATCCCAGCACTTTGGGAGGCTGAGGCAGGCAGATCACAAGGTCAGGAGTTCGAGACCAACCTGGCCAATATGGTGAAACCCCGTCTCTACTAAAAATACAAAAATTAGCCAGACGTGGTGGCAGGCACCTGTAGTCCCGGCTACTCGGGAGGCTGAGGCAGGAGAATTGCTTGAACTCAGGAGGCAGAGGGTACAGTGAGCCGAGATCACACGCCACTGCACTCCAGCCTGGTGACAGAGCGAGACTCTGTCTCAAAAAAAAAAGAAGAATGGTAAATCCACCAACAGCTTGCACCATTCACCTAGAAAAGCTGCAGACACTCAATGCCAGCCCATGAAGGCAGCTAGGAGGGGGGCTGTACCCTGCAAAGCCACAGAGGCATAGCTGCCCAAGACCATGGGAACCCACTTCTTGCATCAGCATGACCTGGATGTCAGATATGGAGTCAAAGGAGATCATTTTGGAGCTTTAAGATTTGACTGCCCTGCTTGATTTTTGACTTGCATGGGGCCTGGAGCCCCTTTGTTTTGGCCAATTTCTCCCATTTGGAATGGCTGTATTTACCCAATGCCTGTATCCCACTGTATGTAGGAAGTAACTAACTTGCTTTTGATTTTACAGGCTCACAGGCGGAAGGGACTGGCCTTGTCTCTGATGAGACGCTGGACTGTGAACTTTTGAGTTAATGCTGAAATGAGTTGAGACTTTGGGGGACTTTTGGGAAGGCATGATTGGTTTTGAAATGTGAGGATATGAGATTTGGGAGGCTCCAGGGGTGGAATGATACAGTTTTGCTGTGTCCCCACCAAATTTCATCTTGAATTCCCACGTGTTGTGACAGAGACCCAGTGGGAGGTGACTGAATTACAGGGGTGGATATTTCCTGTGCTGTTCTCATGATAGTGAATGAGTCTCACGAGATCTGATGGTTTTAAGAACGGGAGTTTCTCTGCACAAAGTCTTTGCCTGCTGCCATTCCATGTAAGACATGACTTGCTCTTCCTTGCCTTCTGCCATGATTGTGCGGCTTCCCCAGCCATGTGGAACTATAAGTCCAATTAAACCTCTTTATTTTGTAAATTGCCCAGTCTCGGGTATCTCTTTACCAGCAGCGTAAAAATGGACTAAGACACACTTTATACAAAAATCAGGTCAAAATGGATCAAAGACTTAAATCTAAGACCTGAACATAAAAATTCTAGCAGATAACATTGGAAAACCCCTTCTAGACATTGGCTTAAGCAAAGTTTTCATGACCAAGAACCCAAAAATAAACGCAACTAAAACAAGGATAAATAGATGGGACGTAATTAAACTAAAAAGCCTCTGCACAGCAAAAGAAATAATCAGCAGAGTGAACAGACAACCCATAAAATAGGAGAAAATATTAGCAAACTATGCATCCGACAAAGGACTAATATCCAGAATCTACAAGGAAATCAAACAAATCAGCAAGAAAAAAACAAATAATCCCATCAAAAAAGTGGGCTAAAGACATGAATAAGCAATTCTCAAAAGAAGATATACAAATGGCCGACAAGCATATGAAAAAATGCTCAACATCACTAATAATCAGGGAAATGCAAATCCAAACCACAATGTGATACCACCTTACTCCTGCAAGAATGGCCATAATTTAAAAATCAAAGTATAATAGATATTGGCATGAATATGGTGAAAAGGGAACACTTTTACACGCTGGTGCAAATGTAAACTAGTACAACCTCTATGGAAAACAATGTGGAGATTCCTTAAAGAACTAAAAGTAGATCTACCATTTGATCCAGCAATCCCACTACTGGGTATCTAACCAGAGGAAAAGAAGTCATTACATGAAAAAGACACTTACACACACGTTTACAGCAGCACAATTTGCAATTGCAAAAATATGAAACCAGCCCAAATGCCCATCAATAACGAGTGGATAAAGAAAATGTGATATACTGCTGGTCGCAGTGGCTCATGCCTGTAATCCCAGCAATTTGGGAGGCTGAGGTGGGCGGATCACCTGAGGTCGGGAGTTCAAGACCAGCCTGAACAACATGGAGAAACCCCGTCTCTACTAAAAATACAAAATTAGCCAGGCGTGGTGGCACATGACTGTAATCCCAGCTACTTGGGAGGCTGAGGCAGGAGAATTCCTTGAACCCGGGAGGCAGAGGTTGTGGTAAGCCGAGATCGCACCATTGCATTCCAGCCTGGGCAACAAGAGTGAAACTCCATCTCAAAAAAAAAAAAAAAAAAGAAAAAGAAAAAGAAAGAAAGAAATTGTGATATATATATATACACACACACACACCCCATACACACTGTGGAATACTACTCAGCTGTAAAAACAAATGAAACAATGGCATTCACAGCAACCTAGATGGAACTGGAGACCGTTACTCTAAGCAAAGTAACTCAGGAATGGAAAACCAAACGTTGTATGTTCTTACTTACAGGTGGGAGCTAAGCTATGAGGACTCAGAGGCATAAGAATGATAAAATGAACTGTGGGGACTTAAGGGGAAGGGCAGGAGGCAGGTGAGGTAAAAAAGACCACATATTACGGCTGGGCGCAGTGGCCCATGCCTGTAATCCCAGCACTTTGAGAGGCTGAGGTAGGTGGATCACCTGAGGTCAGGAGCTTGAGACCAGCCTGCCAACATGGCGAAACCTCGTCTCTACTAAAAATACAAAAATTAGCCAGGCGTGGTGGCAGGCGCCTATAATCCCAGCTACTTGGGAGGCTGAGGCAGGAGAATCGCTTGAACCCGGGAGGTGGAGGTTGTAGTGAGCCCAGATCATGCCACTGCACTCCAGGCCGCGCGACAGAGCAAGACTCTATCTCAAAAAGAAAAAAAAAAAAAAAAGACTACATATTGGGTACAGTGTACACTGCTTGGGTGATGGGTGCACCAAAATCTCAGAAATAACCACTAAGGAACTTATCCATGTAACCAAACACCACCTCTTCCTGAAAAACCTATTGAAATTTAAAAAAAAAAAAAAATTAAGTACATACTATCTGCAACAACAACAACAAAAAGAAAGGTATAATTCCATTGAGATCTTTTACTTAAATGTCTCTTTAAACATTAGAAAATAAAAACCTGTTAGGTTTTCTTCTACCTGCAATAATATTTCCTAAACTTACCTATTCATAATCTAACAAGATGTTAAGGGGTATTTTTCCACTTTTTCCAGAATCAGTAACTAGGGCCCAAAGCTGACAGCAAGAGGCAATAAAGCCCAAATCTAAGGGAGAACACCAACAATTAGGTTCAGATATCTCCCCCAAGGTTTGCTGAGAAGTAACAAACTCACTGGTGCATTCAACCAACTCTACCAAAGAGAGAACTAAGAGAAGGCAAGGGAGAGCTTAGGAGTCTGGCACCACGAAGGGTCATTCATTAAGTTGGCACTTCAAAATAATTGGTCATACAGATTGCAAGGTGAAGATATCTGCAAGAAGGACACACTGGCAACTTGATCCAAAGCTGGACGCTTGCTGAGCTGCAGAAACTGAAAGCACCTGAACACAGAAATATATGAAGCTAATTATCTGGAGATTTCTGAAAGCAAAGCCTATCCTGGTAGTCAGAGCACACGGCAGGAACTGACCACGGAGGGGATGCCATCCCATCGCAGAGCACACTAACACACACACACCCATAAACACTCAAACAGGGGCCACGCTAATTCACCCAATGCACACATCTTTGGGACAGGGGAGGAAACTGAAGTACCAGGAGAAAACCCATGCAAACATGGGGAGAATGTGCAAATTCCACAGAGAGAGTGGCACCAGTTGGGAACTGGGATTTTTGTTTTTTGTTTTTTCAGTCATCAATGTTATACCAAAACAACATTATTTGAGGACCTGCTGTAATTCCCTAAATTTTATCCTGGCCTAGACTGTTTAGTAACCACAAAATGTGTGTGTGTGTGTGTGTGTGTGTGTGTGTGTGTGTGTGTGTGTGTGTGTGTGTGATGTGCACATATGTACATGCACATAGGAAATTTGTGGGTTATGTCCTTGCTTTCATTAATACATGCCAAAGGAAAGTCTCACATCAACTAGAACATTTGAGGGAAAAATATTTGCTTATACCCTAATAGCTTGTACTTGTTCAATAAATTGGTTACAATAATAATTACCAGAGCTCTTGTTAAAAATATAGATTCCACCAGGCACAGTGGCTCATGCCTGTAATCTCAGCTACTCTGGAGGCTGAGGCAGGAGGATCACTTGAGCCCAGGAGTTCAGGGCTGCAGTAAGCTATGACTGTACCACTGAACTCCAGCCTGGACAACAGAGATACCCTGTCTGACATGACATGACATAACAAAATACGGATTCCTAGCCCTCCTCTAAGGACTCTGATTTTCCAGGTCTGGAGTGAAATTCAGGAATCTGTTAGGGTTGTTTTTGTTTGTTTACAAACTTTCTCAGTGATTCATATGATCACACATATTTGAGAAATACTGTTCCAGGAGAAACTGACTAAACTCCAGCATGTAGCATGCCTGCTCTATGAGATGGTTCTCAATGTTTCCCCGGTCTTCCCCATTACTCTATGCTACAACCAAATACAAATAAATGTCTGCCATTTCCTCAAATGTTCTCTATCTCCATTTCTTTCTTCTTACTACATATTTTTCTTAAGATAGCCTTCTCTCTTTATTCATTGGTAAATATCATCTATAGGACCTTTAATCTTCTGTTTTACCACCTCTACTTGTTTATATGTCAATTTTTTTTTCCTGGGGACTAAGCATTATCGGAGGGTGGGAATGATGCCCTAACTTGTCCTGTATTCCTAAGACCAAGCACAGAGCCTGTCATACAGCACATATGCCATCAATGTTTGTTGACTGGATTAACTAATGTTCTCAGACCCCTGGGTGACCACATATTACAGAAACTTAACTTCATAAAATTGTACACAGTATTAGAACTTTAAAATAATAATATGCATTTAGATTACCTTTTTCTCCTCTTGAAGTTTTTCTTTATGGGCCATTTATCTGTGCATATATTAACTGGCCAAATGAGAAATGAGATTAGACATAACCATAAACCATATTTATATAAGAGAAATACTGATGTGATACAAACTGCTACATTTTATATGAGTATATAAAAGAAAAAAATGCAAAGATGAAATAGATTTATAACTAATTAGGCAACATTCTTTAAACAGTAAAATTTGTATTTTTTAATCAATCTCCAACAACAAAATAACGTTAGAGTTGAAAAAAATTCAACAAGAAAAAAAATCCATTATTAAATTGGAAGAACATTACTTTATTGGCATAAGTCAATGGAGTACAGAAAACGTATCTTGGGAGGGTAAAATAATTATTACCTAAGAAATTCAGTTGCTTTTCATCTAAAATTAACAACTAAAGTTTTTTCCTTTGTACCGCTCTAGTCATTTTAAAAACAAAATATTCTTATAAACATGATAGCACCATACATACTAAAATAAAAACTGATGAATGCTTATCAATATATAGATGGATTTTAAATCCTTTAAACTACAATAAATGGATAACCCCACTCATTCCCTGGAGAAAAAGAAAAAGAAAAAAAAAGCTTTCTTTTCTAGAATATGACGGAAACTATTCTTCAGCTAATCCAACAGTCAGCCCCAAGCTCTTGCTTTGCCAGTTCAATTACAGATGCTCAAAGGAGCTAAATACTAGGTTTCTGAGCCTCCATTCCAACTATGGGTGATCTAGCAGCAGAGAACTGAAGGGGAGAAAAAGTATTTTTTCCTCAACCTTCTTAAGTATGTAGTTAGCACAGACTTCTATAACAGAAGGCAGATTAACAAGAGAAAAACAGATAGGTTTATTAACGTGTACGGTGCATATCACACAGGAAAAGCCCTCAGTGAAAAGTAACTCAAGGCAGTGGTTCATGAGTCTGGTTTATATAGTATATCCAACAAAGAACAATAAATTTTAGAGAAGTGACAAGGCAAAGGAAAGCAGTCCCAGACTTCCAGAGGTGGGAAACCGTGGAAAGGTAAATATATGGAAGGCACTAATGGAGTAAAGTCAGCTTGCAGATTCCTCTGGCGCCGTCTCTGAGATGATAAAGGGTTTTTTTCCAGTAAAGAATTTACATCCTGTCTTTAGGGGAGAAAGGGAGGAGGGAGGACAGCAAGACATTTTTCTCTGTAAATCTGTGTCCTGCTTTTAGGCAGAGAGCTCTACTGCATCTTAACTGTCTTCAGCTCGAGAATCCTTCACATTTTGGGGAGGCATATTCTGGTTTCCTACAGTACTAAACTTTACGAACCTTCACAGAATACTATAATTGCCTGCCTACTTGCATGTACCCCTTATTACAGTGTAAGCTCCCTTAAGTTAGGGACAGTTTATTCCCTAATGTCTGAACAAACTATGAAACTCTTTCAGAATAATCACATGCATCAGTTTAATTTGGTTTGTACAGACATCTTCCCTGGAGTTTCCACCTTCCTGCTCCAATCTGTACTAGTCATCTCTAGGCTTGCTACTCAGCTGTCATCCTGGACTTTTGTTCACCATCATCTTGCAAACTTCCTCTCTCTCTCCAGTGTTACATTCCCCATTTTCCTAGATTTCATGCCTTCTTTCACATACTTCAATAGCTTCCTGTGGGGAGATGTGTAGGAGATAAATTTTTTGGCACTTTGCATGCTAAAAAAATATCTTTAGGCTATCCTCATAATTGATTGACTATTTGGTTGGAATTAGAAATCTATGTTTGTCATAATTTTCCCTCAGCACTTTGAAGGTATTGCTTCCTTGTCTACTAGCTTCCAGTGTTAGTTTTGAGTTAAGTCTGACACTCCACTAATCCCTATTCCTTTCCTTGTGACTTGTTTTTACTCTCTGGCACTCTGAAATGTCCTGGTAATATGTCTTTTTCCCCCTCATTAATGGTGCTGAGCACTTTCAATTTAGAAACAGATGTCCTTCAGTTCTGGAAATTTTTCTTGCATTGTTTCACTGATAATTATTTCCCTTAGCTGAGCACAGTGGCTCATGCCTGTAATCCCAGCATTTTGGGAGGCCGAGGCAGATGAATCAACTGAGGTCAGGAGTTTGAGACTAGCCTGGCCAACATGGTGAAACCCTGTCTCTACTAAAAATACAAAAATTAGCCGGGTGTGATGGTGCATGCCCACAATCCCAGCTACTCGGGAGGCTGAGGCAGAAGAATTGCTTGAACCCTGGAGGTGGAGGTTGCAGTGAGCCAGGATCATGCCACTGCACTCTGGCCTGGGCAACAGAGTGAGACTCCATCTCAAAAAAATAAATAAATAAAATTATTTCCCTTCCCTTTTCTTTGATCTCTCTCTCTCTCTGAAAATCTTTTTAGAAAGGAGATGGGCCTCCTGAGTAGATTCTCCATTATTTTTAATATTTCTGTAATATTCTTACATCTCTTTGGCTTTTATATTCTGGGAGATTTCTTCAATCTTATCCTCCCATCCATCATTTAAAAATTTTTTTCTATCACATTCTGTGAGCTCTTTTTCCCTAAGTATCTCCCTTTTGCAATCTCTTATTCTTGTTTCATGTAGCAATTTATTCTCTGATCTCACAGAGATAATGGTCAGATTCTGTGCTCAGTAATTTACATTCACCATATTTAATCATCACAACCAACCCATTGGTAGATGTCATTATCTCTGCAAGAATGCCAAACAGACATCTCAAACTCAATATATATATATATAGTACTGAACTCCTGATCTTCCCCCTCAAATCTGCTCTGTCCACAGTGTTCCTCTTATCAGTTGATAACAGCTCCATCCATTCAGTTCCTGAGCCAAAAACATAGACTCCTTTTTGTTTCATATAACATACTCAAATCGTCAGGAAATCCTGTTGTCTCAATCTCAAAAATATATACAAAATTCAATGATTCCTCAGCATCTTCACTGATAATACTCGTTAAGTTATCATCATCTGTGATATGGTTTGAATATTCTCCCACCCAAATCTCATGTTGAATGTTAATCCCCAACATGGGAAATGGGGCCTAATGGAAGGTGCTTGGGTCACAGGGGCAGATCCCTCATGGCTCGCTGCTGTCTTCACGCTAGTGAGTTCTCAAGAGATCTGGTGGTTTAAAAGTGTTGGGCACCTCACCCTCTACTCTCTCTCTTGCTCTTGCTTTTGTCATGTGATGGGCCTGCTCCCACTTCGCCATCCACCATAAGTAAAAGCTCCCCTGAGGCCTCCGCGGAAGTTGAGCAGATGCTGGTGCCATGCTTCCTGTACAGCCTACAGAATCATGAGCCAATGAAACCTCTTTTCTTTATAAATTACCCAGTCTCACGTATTCCTTTATAGCAACGCAAGAACAGCCTAAGAAAATCTGTTGCCTAGGTTACTAGGAAAAGCTCCTAATGATTCTCCTTTATTTTATTCTTAATGCCCTGCAATCTATTCTCAACTCAGCAATACCAGAGCAAGCCTTTTAAAACTGCATTCAAGTCTTTGCTCAGATGTCACTGGCTCAACGATGCCAACCCTTACTACCCTAATTCTGCACCTCCTTTCTTCTGTATTCAGTATCTCCCTTACCCTGCTCTACTTCCTCTCTGCTTACAGCAATTATTATTTTTAACATACAATTCCTTTTTATTGCCTCCCCCATCCTCCGTCCTCTACCATTAGAATGGAAACTGCACTAAGGGAAAGACTGTCATTATTTTATTCACTGGAATACCCCAACACATAGAAGAGTGACTAATAATATTTGTTGAATTAAGTAATAATAACTACTTTATACATGAAGGAAGTAAGGCCTAGAAGATTAACTTGTCTCACATCTAAAACATGAAAAATTTGGTTAGAACTCAGGTTGGCCTGGTACCAAAGTGCACATATTTAACTTAGATTGCCTCTTATCCATGTCTGTGGCTAAAATAAATAAAGCCTCCATAGACTTCCAAGCCCAAGCTTTGAGGTGGGTTCTTATGTTTCTAATAAAAAAAAAAATATTACTGTCAGGCACTGTGGCTCACGTCTGCAATCCCAGCACTTTGGAAGGCCAAGGCAAGGAGGATCACTTGAGGCCAGGAGTTCGAGACCAGCCTGGGCAACATGGCGAAACCCCGTCTCTACAAAAAATACAAAAATTAGCCAGGTGTGGTGGCATGCACCTGTAGTCCCAGGTACTCAGAAGGCTGAAGTAAACTGTGAGCTCCACTACACTCCAACCTGAGCGACAAAGTGAGACCAGTCTCAAAAAAAAACAAAAATGAAACAAAACAAAAAATACTTTAAGTAAATTTAAAGGGAAAGTGTTAATGCAAATGTATGAGGCAATAAAATATGATGGCATTTAACTCAACACAAAAGCCAGCAGATGGAAATTTCTAGCAAGCTTGGAAATTTCTTTGAGCCTTCAACTATCTATCTGGGAACCAGATTGCCAGAGAAACTTCTATTTAAAGATTTCTGACCCCCTAATAGAATATGTACTGCTTCTTCCCACTTTTACTTAGCAGGGCATGCCTTTGTGGTACATGATATATTATCTTATCAAGGATCTTCAAATCTTTCTTCCAAAGATGTACTTTAAACATGTGCTATTGTGTATTTTAGCTGGACTATTGAAAAGTGTTTGGCTACTTCCTCTATTCCTATTCAAACACTTAAATTATATATTCTCCCTAAATAAGAGCTAGGGAGGAAAAAAGCTTCAGGCTCTAATAGGAAATATTATTTTCTTTTTGTAATGGCAGGCTTAGAAAGTAAGGACACAGACTATTTACATGTTGTAACTTTAGACAATACTAACAAACAAAATCCAACTCTTGAGTATGTAATTTGATATACAATCTTATAAATCCAACTCTTATATAAGAATGACATACTTTTGCCCCCTAAAGTCAAGAGGAAAGCTGGGGCAAGCCCTTTCAAGTGTCTTTAAAGGGCAGTAGGTCTAGCAGGCAGGAATAAAGCTGCAGGCAAACAAGATCCTCATGCTATCTTCCTTCACACTCAATACTTAACCCAACGTCATTTCCCTCCAGCAAAGATGATAAAAGCCAATAAAGCTAGAGGTATCAGTTCTGAAAAAATGGGAAGCTATTGCTGGTACTTTTGAGAAAAGAAAAGGCCTATTCTGAAAGAACTCATTCAAGCCCTTTCCTTTCTCCAAGACCCAATTTATTCATTCACCAATTCAAATCTATCCAATAAAAGCTTACTCAGGTATTACAGTAGACAGTTGTTTCTGACTGACACCTAATCCCCCCCTTCTTCTGATAAACATACCCCATTTCTTTTATAAAACATAATTTCAACTTTTGTTTTAGATTTGGGGGTATAAATGCACAGGTTTGTTACAAGGGTATATTGCGTGATGCTGAGGTTTAGAATACAAATAATCCCATCATGCAGATAGTGAGCATGGCACCCAGTAGTTAGTTTTTCAACCCTTGCCCACCCTCTAACTTCCCCCTGTAATGGTCCCCAGTGTCTACTGCTCCCATCTTTATGTCCATGAATACCCGATGTTTAGCTCTCACTTAGAAGTGAGAACATGTAGTATTTGATATACCCTATTTCTTTTGGAAAACTATTCCTCCACACTCTCAGACCATGTGTTTTGGAAGAGGTGGCATCCCCGACAAAAAGAACACTTGTTTACAATATGACAGCTGAAACAAGAAGGTAGATATCACCTTATTCAGCTTCAGATGGGAACATGCACATTGGTGACTCCATATTTTACTGCTCTGCACATGTCTGCAAATGACCATGAAACCAACAAGATCATTAATTTGGGTGTTACAAATAAACTCTGACAAGGAGGTAAACATACAAACACCAAGTCTACAAAAAAATGAGGATCAACTGTATATGCATAATTGCAGAAAACATGAGTGTCTTCCTCTCTAACCTCAGTGCAATGAAAGTCTCTCCAACTATGACTAAAATTTAGACATAATAAAAGAAAATATAAATATATTTTACTACATAAAAATTTATGCATGGCAAAAAAGTACAAAAAGATCTTAAAAGCAACAAGAGAAAAGAAACAACCTAAGTATCCATCAGCAGATGAATGGATAAAGAAATGTGGTACATATACTCAATGGAATACTATTCATCCATAAGGAAACAATGAGAACTTGTCATTTTCAACAACATGGATGGAACTGAAGGTCACTGTGTTGTGTAAAATAAGTCGGACACAGAAAGACAAACTTCACATGTTCTCACTTATTTATGGGAGCTAAAAATTAAAACACTTGGCCGGGCACAGGGGCTCAGACCTATAATCCTAACACTTTGGGAGGGCAAGGTGGGTGGATCACTTGAGGTCAGGAGTTCAAGACCAGCCTGGCTAATATGGTGAAACCTCGTCTTTACTAAAAATACAAAAATTAGCCAAGCGTGGTGGTATGCACCTAATATCCCAGCTACTCTGGAGGCTGAGGCAAGAGAATCGCTTGAAAATGGGAGGCGGAGGTTGCAGTGAGCCGAGATCATGCCACTGCACTTCAGCCTGGGTGAAAGAGCGAGGCCCCATCTCAAAAAAAAAAAAATTGAACTCATGGAGATAAAGAGTAAAATGATGGTTACCAGAGGTTGGGAAGAGTAGTGGAGAGTGGGGCAGAGAAGTGGGGATGGTTTATGGGTGCAAAAAAATAGAAAGAGTGAATTTTACAGCACAACAGGTGACTATAGTCAATAATAATTTAATTGTACTTTAAAAATAACTAAAACAGTATAACTAGATTGTAACACAAAGGATAAATGCTTGAGGTGACAGATACCCTACTTACCTTGATGTGATTATTACACACTGTATGCCTGTATCAAAATATCCCATATACCCCATAAATATACATACCTACTATGTACCCACAAAAATTAAAAATAAAAAAATTAATAATAATATTTTAACTGATTCATTAAAGACATTATTAAGCAAAACTGGTATGTGGCAGTGAAGAATGCATTGATTACTAATTTGGTACCACTGTCTTAATTTGAGCTAAGGCACTACAAGTTTTATCCATCACTATTTTCTTCACCATCAGTGCAAATGTCAACACAATGAAAAAAGTAAATGACATCTTAGTCTAACTACGAAAATAGTTTTAACTTTGCAGATACCTGATAAAGTCCCAGAGACACCCAGCAGTCCCAAGATCACATTTTGAAGACCACTGCCCTAGATAAGTATTTCTCAACTTTGATGAATCACCCATAACCTTAAACTAATAAGTCAAAATCTCTTTATACTTTGACAAAGCACCATTAGATGATTCTTAGGTCCACCAAAGGTTGATAATCACTGGCCTAGATGATACAGCAATAGGTAAAACTAGGGTGACAGCAGTGGAAATGGTAGGGGATAACTACCAAGAAACTGTTTTCAGTAAGAACTAAAAGGCATTACAGATTGATGAAATGTAAGAATATGAAGACAAACAGTCAAAGATTTAAATCTTGATTACTGAAAAACTTACGATACTATTAAAAGATTAAGAAGTCAGGAGGAGCTTAAAAACCTAGAGAAGTAAGGCCGGGTGCAGTGGCTCACGCCTGTAATCCCAGCACTTTGGGAGGCCAAGTCGGGCAGATTACAAGGTCAGGAGTTCGAGACCAGCCTGGCCAATATGGTGAAACCCAGTCTCCACTAAAAATACAAAAATTAGCCGGGCATGGTGGCAGGCACCTGTAGTCCCAGCTACTTGGGAGGCTGAGGCAGGAGAATCACTTGAACCTGGGAGACAGAGGTTGCAGTGAGCCGAGATCGCGCCACTGCACTCTAGCCTGGGCAACAGAGTGAGACTCCATCTCAAAAAAAAAAAAAAACTTAGAGAAGTAGGAGAGAAGATAAATTATGTTTTCCTGATCCTCCTAATCACAGTTAATCCCTTCTTCCTCTGTGTTCTCACTAAATTGTTTGTATCTCTACTTTTACAATTTACTTCATTTAAAATTTTTACTACATTTTGCATTCTATTACAGTGAGCTCTTTCTCTCCCAATCAGTAGAATCTGAACTCCTCAAGGGGATGAATGAGTTTTGGGAGCACCAGCCGTGGGTTCATATAACTATACAATTTTCTGCATGTTACATAATCTCTCTAGCCTCAATGTTATCATGTCTAAAACAGGGATTAGAGACATATTTTCATATACCTAGCATAATGCCTAGTGTACCATAAAAACTCAAAGGACAACAATAACAAAATCAATGAGCATAGCTACATTTCCTTTAAAAAGACTGCTTTTAAAACTAAGACCTTTCCGAGTGAATACAGACCTTTGGTAATTCTCACTATAAAGCACACCACAGAGAGATCATTCTCAGTTAATTACAGAACGATAATCTAATTTGTGAATTGAATCATCCAAAATATCTGGCTACAGACTAATTAAGCCCTCTAAATAAATGGACAAACAAGAAGTACAATTTTAAAATATGCTTTGCTTTTTATGGAATGTGGCACCTGGCTTTGTATAAAGAGTAGAAGAAAATAAATTTTCTGAAAATTCCTAGATTGCTGGTGGATTTAATTTCTTCATGCTATCATATACACAGCTATAGCAGGGGGATGACATTCTTTTCTCTATTCATGTAACTGAAACACACATCTGGTCTAAAAGGCAGTAGTTTATAAGAGTCGCTCCCCAGACAGTAATGGTTCTGGAACACAGGTCCAGTACAAAACTATCTAGTTGAAATAGGAATGGAGCTGAGGAAAGAATGGGAAGGAGTAATTCTAAGGGAGGTAAAATGCAACTCTCAAAGCTGGCTTTTAACCAGCACAGCTAAGGTTACATCTCCTGACTTGCCAAAAATAACGGTAGGGTCTTTTTTACCACAAGTAGTAAAGAGTACAGTTTTAGGTTTCATCTAAAAATAACCATTTAAAAAAATGAAAAAAATCATATCAAAGTATAATGAGAACTATTTAAACTGTATCATGACTCAACAAATGCTGTTTCTATTATAATCAGAAATGGCACCCCTCCAATATTCACAATAGCATGCCTGGAGAAGGTTGTACCTCTTCAGGAAAAACAAACAAGAAAACAAACAACAACTCCAGAATGTCATATCAGGATGCATCCAGTTGCGAGTAAATAAAAATCCAACTCAAAGTGGTGTAAAATAATACTTCTCCAGCTTTTGTGTGCATATGACTTATCTGGGGATCCTATTAAAATGGATTTTGATTCAATTGAACTAGGGTACAGTCTAAAATTCCTCATTTCCAACAAACTCATAGGTAATGCTAATGCTGCCAGTCCATGCACCACCATTTCAATGCAAAGGACTTAATAAGAAAATACATATATTAACACATCTGGAAACCCACAGATAACACTGCTCAATAACATCACCAAGGGCTAACAGTTTTCCATCTGTCTCTGCTCTATTTCCAAAATGAGACTGGGGCTGGGCACGGTGGCTCACATCTGTAATCCTAGAACTTTGGGAGGCACAGATGGGTGGATCACTTGAGGCCAGGAGTTTGAGACCAGCCTGGCCAACACAGTGACACCTCGTCTTTACTAAAAATACATATACAAAAATTAGCCGGGTGTGGTGGAGCATGCCTGTGGTCCCAGCTACTCAGGAGGCTGAGGCAAGAGAAATGCTTGAACCTGGGAGGCGGAGGTTGCAGTGAGCCAAGATTGTGCCACTGCACTACAGTCTGGGCAACAGAGCAAGACTCTGACTCAAAAAAAAAAAAAATGACATTGGGCTCACTATTTCATAAGGATTCTATCTTTTATTCAGCCCTAACGTTGTAAAGGAGAATTATTATTTCAAAATCAGAACGATGCACAATATAAATTATACTAGGCTATCTTCAGATGTAGGTTTATGCTTTTTAATCTGAATTCAATTGGTACCTAATCAAAGTCACTGCACAAATATGGTAAAATACAAATCCAGTAAAATTTTAAAAAAAAAGTTAAAAGGCATCGACACTGACTTTACGAGTCAAAAAATGAGCAATATCAAACTGCAAAGTGGAATAGCAGTAATTTAGTTTCCTAGATTATTTTTAACATATAGTTCACTTTTACAATTTCTTCAGTGAAACATTATTTTTATTTAAATATTTTTTTTTTTTTTTTTTTTTTTTTTTTTTTTTTTTTGAGACAGAGTCTCGCTCTGTCGCCCAGGCTGGAGTGCAGTGGCGCGATCTCGGCTCACTGCAAGCTCCGCCTCCTGGGTTCACGCCATTCTCCTGCCTCAGCCTCCCGAGAAATATTTATAAGTTAAAGCAGAAACAAGAAAACTATGTTCAAAAGAACAGTAAACATCCTTTCTGAAACAGCATTATTGCAAGGGACCTCTTAATGTTGGCTATATTCGTATACGCAGCTGCACAATGTCCACTGTGTATGCCTTGGCCTACATACAATTTGAAAATGGGCCAAAGGCTAAAATGTTGAAGAAAAAAATTTCTGAAAAATTAGACATATTGATAGATCTTAAATTTTACACAAATAAGTACTTATAACCGTAAACCTTAAACAAAGGCCTGTCAAGTTGATAATGGAGAAAACATTATGCAACTGAGGTATTTATAAAAAGTATTTTTTGGCCACATGTGGTGGCTCATGCCTGTAATCCCAACACTTTGGAAGGCCAAGATGGGAGGATGGCTTGAGCCCAGGAGTTCAAGACCAGTCTGGACAATATGGTGAGACCGCATCTTTAAAAAAAACTTTTTTAAAAAAGTTAGCCAGGTGTGTGGTGTGTGCCTGTAGTCCCTGGCTTAAGCCCAGGAGGTGAAGGCTGCAGTGAGCCATGTTCGTGCTACGCTACTCCAGCCTGTGCAACAGAGACCCTCTCTCAAAAAATCCAAAACAAAACAACAACAAAAAAGTATATAATTTTTTACATTAAATATTCACCCACATCATTATTTTTAGTGACTACACAGCATTTTATTGAATTGATGTAATAATTTATTTAATCAAACTCCTCTGATACTTAGGCTTCTTATAAATTTTTACTGATACTACAAACAAAACCGCAAAGATATATTCTTATTTGTTTCCTTATGATAAGTACAGAATAAGTCACAGGAAAGATTCATTTTTAAAGTCTGCAATAAGTTTTGTCAAATTGTTCCTCCAAAAGGCTGGTACTAATTTACATGTTCACTAGCAGTATCCGTTTTCCCACACCATAATTTACACTAGGTATTATCAATTTTTCCACTCTTCAGTGTCTACAAAATATCTCTTCCTCCACTTTTCATTTGTTATAACTCTAGTTTAAGCTCTTATTACCTCACATCTAGAGTGTTAGTCTTTTGTTTTTCATGTGTTTTCTCCTCCAATCTATTCTCTGGAACAGCAGTTTTCAAACTTTATGGCTTCACGACTCTACCTCTTAAAAAAATTACTGAAGATTCCAAAGAGCTTTTGTTTAGGGGGTTATGTCTATCAGTATTTACCAAGTTATAATTAAGAAATTAAAACAAAAGTTTTAATACACAAGCTTGTATTCCATTAGCTATATGAGCAATGATGACATCCTATGTTACAAAGCCTCTGAAAAACTTGTACACTAATGAAAGAGAATGACAAAAAAGTAAACAGTGTCTCAGAATTCTTAGAATTATTAATATTATTATGAAAATACTTTTAATCTTTTCTCCTTGAAAAGGTCTCAGGGACCCCCAGGGGTACTCACCCACACTCTGAGAATTCCTGCACTAGACCGTGCTCTTTGATGGCAGGATCCACGTCTTATTTACCTTTGTATTCCCAGTTCATAGAACTGAGTCCAAGACATCACAAATGCTCAAGAACCATTTGTTTAAATTTGTTTAATAACTAAATGCACTCCACTACCACCACCAAACATAGGTGTCTGCTAGCATACTGCTGTGGCCACACTACTCTCTATGAAAACTTCTAGCAGTTCCTAACTAGCTACAAAATAAAAAAACAAATGTCTCTCTGGCTTCCAAGGACCTTAATCCAGTCCTTATTTTCCCTTTAACCTAATCTCCCATCCTCAGTTAAAAAAAAAAAAACAAAACTCCTGCTCCAAGTAAGCTAATTTACTCACAGAAATCCTAAAAAACAAAAAAGTACACTTTTTCTGCTATCATGTTTTTTGTTGATACCATTTGTAATACTTGGAATTGCTTCCCTAATCCTGTCTAAATCTCATCTATTTTTCCCAAGTTCCACCTTTCCCTTAAGGTCAGCCCTAGCCACCCACTCTTCTCTGAAGTCTCAAAGCCCATACCTCAGTCCCAAGACCACAGCATTGACAACACCAGAGAGCCTGTTACAAATCCAGCTTCTTGAGCCTATGCCAGACCTAGTGAATCAGAAACTCTAACATGGGGCCAAGCAATCTGTATCTTAACAAGCCCCACAGGTGATTCCTATGTATCCTCAAAGTTGACAACCATGACATTTGGGGATTATGATTGGTTTTAAAAAACAAAATCCTTAATATAGTAATTTAAACAAATAGGTATTTTTTTCCACACAGGAAAAAAAGAAGCCTGGAAATGGATCATCCAGGACTGACTTCCAATGATGTCAAAATCCTTAGCGGTTGATTTATCACCTTATGGGCACAAGATGGTTGCTGCTCCTTTGAGGCATGAAGAAGGAATAAGCAACAAAGGATCATGCCTAAAACATCACTGCCCAACAGCGCCACAGCCCCCCAACAATAAACCTTCCCTTAAATGCTGTAGTAAGCTGTATTTTCTAAAGATGACCACCTCAATATATTTATTCTGTTTAATACTTTCTTTCTACAACATGATACATGCTCCTCCAACTGACAGAAGGGGACATATTCTCTCCCTGTAAGTCTAGGAGGAGATTTTTAACAGTCTTGTCTAATAGAGTACAGCAGAAGTGATGCTAAATAACTCCGGAGGCAGGGTCATAAAAAAACCCAGTGATAATATTAAAACCACATGTGAATGTTCCAGCTGGACCCCCAGCAGGTACAAGCATTAACTAAAAAATGGCATGAACAAGCTTTCATATGACTCCAGCCTCAGTCTTTGAGTCTTCTAGCTGAGGCCTCAGACATCATGGAGCAGAAACAAGTCCTTATCTGAATTACTCACCCACACAAACCATGAGATATAATAAATTATAATTGTTGTTTTAAGGTACTATATTTTATAACAAAATATTAAGCAGCAGTAGAGAACTAAAGCATAGAAAAATCTCAAATTAACAACCTAACATCACACCTAGAGAAACCAAAAAAACAAGAGCATACCAACTCCGAAGCTAGCAGAAGACAAGAAATAACTGAAATCAGAGCTGAATTGAATGAAATTGAGTCACGAAAAACCATACAAAAGATCAACAAAACCAAAAGCTGGCCCTTTGAAAAAAATGAATAAGATTGATAGACCACTAGGTAGACTAATAAGTAAAAGAGAGAAGATCCAGGGCCAGGCACAGTGGCTCACACCTGTAATCCCAGAACTTTGGGAGGCCAAGATGGGCAGATCACCTCAGGTCGGGACTTCAAGACCAGCCTGACCAACATGGAGAAACCCTGTCTTTACTAAAAATACAAAATTAGCCGGGTATGGTAGCACATGCCTGTAATCCCAGCTACTCAGGAGGCTGAGGCAGGAGAATCGCTTGAACCCAGGAGGCAGAGGTTGTGGTGAGCTGAGATGGTGCCATTGCACTCCAGCCTGGGCAACAAGACTGAAATTTCGTCAAAAAAGAAAAAAAGAAAGAAAGAAGGAAGGAAGGAAGGGAAAGAAGAGAGAATATTCAAATAAACACAATCACAACACACAAAGGGGACATTACCAGCAACCCCACAGAAATACACAAAACCCTCAGAGATTATTACAAATATCACTATGTGCACAAACTAAAAAACCTAGAAGAAATGGATAATTTCCTGAAAATATAAAACAACCCAAGATTGAACCAGGAAGAAATTGAAACCCTAAACAGACAACTAACAAATTGTGAAATTGAATCAGTAATAAAAAGCCTACCAGCCAGAAAAAACCCTGGACCAGATTGATTCAAATCCAAAGCCCACCTGATGTAAAAAAATAAGCTGATACCAATCCTACTGAAACTATTCCCAAAAATCCAGAAGGAAGGACTCCCTCCTAACTCACTGTATGAGGCCAGGATCATGCTGATACCAATACTTGGCAGAGACACAATGAAAAAAGAAAGCTTCAGGCCAATATCCCTGATAAACATAGATGCAAAAATCCTCAACAAAATACAAGCAAACCAAATCCAGCAGCAAATCAAAAAGCTCATCTACCTAATCAACCAGGCTTTATTCCTGAGATGCAAGGTTGGCTCAACATGCAAATCAATAAACGTGGTTCATCACATAAACAAAACTAAAAACAAAAACCACATGATCAACTCAACAGACACAGAAAAGGCTTTCAATAAAATTCAACATCCTTTTGTGCTAAAAACCCTCAATAAACTAGGTACTGAAGAAACATACCGCAGAATAAGAAGACTCATCTATGACAAACCCACAGCTAATATCCTACCAAATAATCAAAAGCTTGAAGCATTCCCCTTGAGACCTGGAACAAGGCAAGGATGCCCACACTTACCACTCCTATACTGGAAGTTCTAGCCAGAGCAATTAGACAAGATAAAGAAATAAACGGCATCCAGACAGGAAGAGAGGAAATCTCTCTTTGCAGGTGATATGATTTTATACCTAGAAAGCCTTATAATCTCTGCCCAAATGTTCCTAGATCTGATAAATGACTTGAGCAAAGTTTCAGAAAACAAAATCAATGTACAAAAATCAGTAGCATTTCTATACACCAACAACAGCCAAGCTGAGAGTCAAATCAATAATGCAATCCTATTCACAATAGCCACACACACAAAAAAAGTACCTAGGAACACAGCTAACCAGGGAGGTGAAAAATCTCTACAACAAGAATTACAAAACACTGCTGAAAGAAGTCAGAGATGACACAAACAAATGGAAAAACATTCCATGCTCATGGATTGAAAGAATCAATATTGTTAAAATGGCTATACTGCCCAAAGCAATTTACAGATTCAATGCTATTTCTATCAAACTACCAACATTTTTCACAGAATTGGAAAAAAACCTATTCTAAAATTCATATAGAACCTGAAAAGCCAAAGCAATCCTAAGCAAAAATATTATAACACAGCCAGAAGCATCACACTACCCAACTTCAAAGTATATTACAAGACTACAGTAACCAAAACAGCATGGTACTGGTCCAAAGCAGACACACAGAACAACAGAACAGGTTAGAAAACCCAGAAATAAAGCCACATACCTACAACCATCTGATCTTTGATAAAGTTTATGAAAACAAGTAATCCCAGCAGCATTTACTGAATTCTCTATTAAATAAATGGTGCTGGGATAACTGGCTAGCCATATGCAGAAGACTGAAATTAGATTCCTTCCTTTTACCATATACAGAAACCAACTCAAGATGGCCTAAAGACTTAAATATAAAACTTAAAACTACAAAAACCATAGAAGAAAACCTAGGAAACACTATTCTGGACATAGGTGATGGCAAAGATTTCATGACAAAGGCTCCAAAAGCAATTGAAAAAAAAAAAAACTGACAAATAGGATCTAGTTAAATGAAAGAGATCTGTTACAACAAAAGAAACTATAAACAGAATAAACAGATAACCTAAAGGGAGAAAATATTTGCAAACTATGTATCTTAACAGAGATCTAATATCCAGAATCTATAGAGAATTTGAGGAAATTAACAAGTAAAAACAAACAGATCCATTAAAAATGGGCAAAGGACATAAACAGACATTTCTCAAAAGAAGACAAACACACAATCAAAAGGCATATGAAAAAAATACAAAAAT
The DNA here is from genome assembly GCF_000001405.40 of Homo sapiens. NCBI lineage: Eukaryota > Metazoa > Chordata > Mammalia > Primates > Hominidae > Homo > Homo sapiens. The sequence goes on along the minus strand of NC_000014.9, from coordinate 67,904,669 downwards.
TAGCTGGGTGTGGTGGCATGCTTAGCAGCTACGTGGGAGCCTGAGGCAGGAGAATCACTTGAACCTGGGAGGCAGAGATTGCAGTGAGCCGAGATCGCACCTCTGCACACCAGCCTGGCAACAGAGCAAGACTCCATCTCAAAAAAAAAAAAAAAAAAAGTCAACATTCCTAATCATTAGAGAAATGTATACTAAAATCAAAATGAGATACCATCTCACACCAGTCAGAATAGCTATTATTAAAAACTCAAAAAATAATAGATGCTAGCAAGGTTGCAGAGAAAAGGGAATGCTTATACACTGTTGGTAGGAATGTTAATAAGTTTAGCCATTGTGGAAAGTAGTTTGGCAATCTTTCGAAGAACTTAGAACTATCGTTCAACCTAGCAATCCTACTACTAGGTATATAACCAAAGGAATATAAGGATTCTACCATAAAGACACAAGCACACATATGTCCATCACAGCACTATTCACAATAGCAAAGACATGGAATCAACCTAAATGCCCACTAACGGTGAACGAGATAAAGAAAATGTGGTACATATATACCATGAAATACTATGCAGCCATTAAAAAAGAATAAATCATGTCCTTTGCAGCAACATGGATGGAGCTGGAGGCCATTATCCTAGGCTAATTAATGCAGGAACAGAAAACCAAATACTGCATGTCCTCACTTGTAAGTAGAAGCTCAACACTGAGTCCTCATGAATACAAAGAAGGAAACCATAGATACGGGGGCCTACTTGAGGGTGGCTGGTGGGAGGAGGGTATGCACTGAAAAACTACCTACTGGGTACTATGCTTATTACCTGGGTAATGAAATAATCTGAACACCAAACCCCCACAACATGCAATTTACCCACATAACAAACCTGCACATGTACCCCCTGAACCTTAAATAAAAGTTGGAAAGAAAAAAAATGGAGAGCTAAACAGGTAACACTGTCCAGAACTCGATCACATGGCTATCCTCAGTTGTAGAAGAAGTTGGGAAATCAGAAAACATGACTGTCATGAACTGAGGCTGGGCACACAGCTACCAAAACACGATTAGGGTTCTATTAACAAGGTGAAAATGGAAATAAGTTTTGGGTAGGCAACTAACAGTATCTGCCACAAACACCTAATTAATACTTACTATCTACTACCTTATAATGTTGATCTTTTTAAAAATATGTTTTATATCCATAATAGAAACAAGAGTCTTGAAAGCAGACTATTTCATTTTTTTTAAATGCCTTAAATGGTGGTTACACTAAAAATATTAGTTATTTAACTTCTTAAGGCAAATATTTAGGTTACACTTCAGAAAGAAGTTCTAGGTCCTAGAAGCGGTAAGATTCTGAAACAAATGCACAGAAAAGGTTTTTATCATTTTGAGAGAGAGTATTTTTCAGAATAACTTCTCAGGGAAAATGCTGGTACAAATAAACGATCAAATAAGCTTTGCAGATTCCTGACAGTATACAGACAAACCAACTAAACTCAGAGTTAGAAGTTTTCTCAGGCCAGGCGCGGTGGCTCACGCCTGTAATCCCAGCACTTTGGGAGGCAGAGGTGGGCAGATCATTTGAGGTCAGGAGTTTAAAACCAGCCTGGTCAACATGGTGAAACCCTATCTCTCCTAAAAATACAAAAATTAGCTGTTAAAAAGGGCATGGTGGTGGGAGCCTGTAATCCCAGCTACTCAGGAGGCTTAGGCAAGAGAATTGCCTGAATCCAGGAGGTGGAGGTCACAGTGAGCCGAGATCACACCACTGCACTCCAGCCTGGGTGACAGAGCAAGACTCCATCTTCAAAAAAAAAAGAAGTTTTCTCAAAGGTGCCTGTAAATCCTCTCCAAAGGTGGCCATTATAGGCACTTGCCCAGCCCTTTATATAGCAATAAATATTGGTATAAGCTAACTAATAATTGCAGGGTCCTCTGTAAACATAAAGTACTAAATATTTATTTTAAAAGAACTACACTGATCCATCACTAAATTTAGTGGATAGAGTTCATCACTGCAACTCCTAAAAATGACACTAGCCCCCAACTACTAACCACTCATGATTTTTACTACATCACCATTTCTACATCTTTAAATAATAATATAAAAGCCAGATGTCGTTACAATCTAATTTTAAAACAAATCTTAACACTAGTTAAAAAACATTCCAAAACTTTTATTTTAGCTGAACAAATTGAGTTAAGTGCATTATCTGAGCTTAGAAAATTCTGATTCATTGTTCAAATAACTAAGGATAAAAACAGTCACTAAATCAGATTTAGCTGGTTATGGAACTATCAACTAACAAGTTACGTAGTGCTTCAGAATTTACAAAGTCCTTTCAGAAATATAGATAAATATACATCCCTATAAAATTATTATATATGAAAGTGCTTATAAATTATAAAAACCTCTATAAAGTTTAGTAATCGGAAATATATTACTATTCATCTATTAATATTATTAGTAATAATATTAAGCCTTATGAGGTAGCAACTTTTAGCCACTTTCTACAGATAGGGATACTGAGGCTCAGAAATGAGAACTGACTCGTCCAGGATTGCACAGCTAGTTGTAACACATATGGTACTTAAACTCCTATTTTCTTTCATTTTTCATTTCATTTATATAAATGTATGGGATACAGTGTAATTTTGTTACATGGATATATTGCATAGTGATGAAGTCAGGACTTTCCAGGTATCCATCACTGGAATAACATACATTGTACCAATTAAGTAATTTCTCATCATCCAACCCCCTCCCACCCTTCCCAGTCTCCACTGTCTATCATTCCACACTCTACATCCATGGGTACACATTATTTCACTCCCACTTATATGTGGTATTTGTCTTTTTGTGTCTAGCTTATTTCACATAAGATAATGGCCTCCAGTTTGATCCATGTTGCTGCAAAAGACATTATTTCATTCTTTTTATGGCTGAATAGTATTCCATTGTGTATATATACTACACTTTCCTCATCCAATCATCCACTTTGGTTGATTCCATATCTTTGTTACTGTGAACTGTATTGTGATTCTGGGTACCTTCTACTGCGTCATGCTGTCTCAGTGAAATGTTTAATCTTCAGAGTGTGATTCCCAAAGACTGGAAGAGAAAAGCATAAGGAGAGGTCTATTGTTCAACAGTAAACTGCCATTTCCAAGTGACAGAGGAGGCAGTTTAGGCAGATAGAGAGGGAGGGTCTTCGGAGTGGAAAAATACCCACAGGACTGCACCTGCACTGTCCCTGTAGCTAATGAGAAGAAATATGATTAAGAACTTACCCTCATGCCAGGATGTTGCTCAGAAGGGACCATCCCAACTTAGGCACAGGCGCAATAAGTCAACCTAAATGTCCTTAACTTGGCCCAACTCATTATAATGCCATTAACATGACATTCGCATTGTGGTTTTAGTACCCCTGTGGCTTTCGCTTAGGCACTCACGGGTAATAACTAAGATGGAGTCAACCCCAGGCATGCACAGATGCAACATCCTTAGGAGGGAACTTTAGCCCTCCCATTTTGGGCAGAACCCACAGAAGGCTTCCTTGCTCTTGCCACATAAAAGACCCAGAACTCAGTCCTATTTCTGGCAACCTGCTTTCAGGTCCCCTCTCTTTGCTAAGAGCTTTCCTTTCGCTTAATAAATTCTACTCTATTTACTCTCCAGTGGCTGCAAGCCTTATTCTTCTTGGTCATGAGACAAAAACTTGGACCTAGCTGAACTAGGGACTAAGCAGACTCCAACACAAGGTTAGCAGGCAGGTCAATCCCATGTTATTGGGCAACCCAGTAAACTAAGCTAAAGATCATACAGAACAAAAAAGTAAATTCATTACAATATGGTATCAGATATAAAACTAACTTTAGTGGCTGTAAGCTAGGGGCACTAAGAAACTTCATATTATAACAATTTCAACATTTCTTTAAAATACTGTACTTTAGTACTTAATAACTATGGGCATTACTTTATTCCAGTTTAGTTTAGAACTGTAACTCCTTCAAATATATATATTTATGTGTGTGTGTGTGTGTGTATGACACACACACACACACACACACACACAAACTGAAAGAAGATCCTTTGAGTCATGAGTCTAAAATACCTACTTTAAGTTTTAAGCTCCTAAGAACTTTTAATTAAATTCATGAACAGTGAATTTTACGAGATACATTTGGCAATGTCATGAAACTAAAATGTCTTCTGTCCAGTAACAGCATGTATTGTGTCTTCATAAAACCTCAAAGCAGAATCTTAGGAAGCAGCCTTACTTCATGTGTTCCCCAAGAGAGGTCTAAAGTGCAAGTATTTTGAAATTATTTTCCTAAGACAGCATCCTTATTACAAGACTTAAGCTACAAGTTTGCCAATTCTGAGAATATTGTTCAGAAAACCTACAAGTCTTCAGTATATTCACTGGCACATAAAAGGCATTAATTATACTCTTAACATTACATGTGTGATTTGCATGTTTGTGAAAAAGCAATCAAAGCTGCAAATAATCAAATATTTCTCTTACTTTAAATACTGATAACACTAATACAGAAGCAACACTGTGGTTACACTTACAAGCAGCAATCAAAGCATAAAGCAAAATTAGAGACTTTCCATTGAAAAAGGCTTAGAGGAAACAATAAGTATTGAAAAGTTTTTAGTATGATAAGCAGCAAGGGAATAGAATAATTTTGACTACTGCATTAGGAGGCAGTGTTCCATTATGAATAAGAACACATGCATTGTAATCACACATATCTGGATTCAAACTCAAGCCCTTCCACTTACTAGCCAAGTGACTCTGGTAAAGTTATTTAACCTCTATAAGCCTCAATTTCTTCAACTATAAAAAGGGAATAGTATAACCTACCTCACAAACTTATTTAGAATATGAAATGGAAAATGTTTAAAATGTACTCACTACAGAACCCGAAACAAAAAAAGTAGTTATCAATAAGATGTAGCTATTTCTTCTTAACAGCATTTCAAACCTGTAGAAATTTTTTCAATGTCAATGACTACTTATTTTTTCCAGTAAAACAATTAACACAAACTCTGAGACAATAAATAAGGACCCTGATCTTAAAAGGGACTTCAAAGCCCAAATGTTTATAATCAAAATTTAATTTTAAAAGGAGCTTAGGTTCAAACCATTAATGGTAATACAAAAAGAACTATTGCTCTCTGTCTAGCCATACATACTTTTCTCTCCTATAACCATCAAAATAGCCTTAAGGTTAAAAAAGCTATAATCTAATGCAAATGTTTCACTTTTAAGAAGATATTTCCCAGCAGAAACTGAGTCAACATTAAAATAATCTAGGCCGGGTGTGGTGGCTCACACCTGTAATCCCAGCACTTTGGGAGGCCAAGGTGGGCAGATCACGAGGTCAGGAGATCAAGACCATCCTGGCTAACATGGTGAAACCCCGTCTCTACTAAAAATATAAAAAAAAAAAAATTAGCCGGGCGTGGTGGCGGGTGCCTATAGTCCCAGCTACTCGGGAGGCTGAGGCAGGAGAATAGCATGAGCCCGGGAGGCGGAGGTTGCAGTGAGCCAAGATCATGCCACTGCACTCCAGCCTGGGCAACAGAGCAAAACTCTGACTCAAAAAAAGAAAAAAAAGAATCTAAATTAATAGAGATGTAAAATCAACAAGAATATTTATCTTTCAATATCAAAGATAAACAGAAGTCAAAAAAGGGGTAGGAAACAATGTTCAAGTGAAAAATACATAATTTTTAATATCCTCTAATTTACATTTTGTTACTTGTATTGGAAGATAATAAAACCTTTAAACCACAGCTGTTATGTTTTACATAGATTCTTAAATGTTTGGGAAATATTTTTAATCTTACAAAGTTAATTAAGTGCCTCTTGAATTCTTATATTCAATAAAGGGAAAACATTCTAACTAGGAAAATTAAAGTTGTTTTCTGGCTTTTTATTTGTTTGACATATACAAAACTGTGTATGTTTAATGCATACAACTTGGAGAATGTACACTGTGAAACCATCACTACGGTCAATGCCATAAACACATCCATTACTTCTAAAAGTTTCCACCTGTGCTCTTTATTTATACAGTGTATGGGATAAGAACACAATGTAAGATCTACCTTTCAACAAATGCTTAAGTATACATTACTGTTCACTATAGGCACTGTGTCTCCAGGACTTATCATCTTGTGTAACTAAAACTTTTACCCTTTCACCAATACCTCCCTGTTTCCTCCTCCTCTCAGCCCCTGGCAATCACCATTCTACTCTTTGCTCTATGAGTTTGACTATTTTAGATTCCATATACTAGTAAAAGTGGGATCATGTATTCTTTGTTCTTCTCTGTCTGGCTTATCTCATTTAGCGTAATGTCTTCCAGGTTCATCCATGTTGTCACAGATAGTAGTATTTCCTTCTTTTTTATTTAAGGCTAAATAATATATCATTGTGTGTGTATATGACATTTTCTTTTTCCATTCATCCATGGATGGACATTTAGATTGCTTCCATGACTTAGCTATTGGGAATAATCCTACAATGAACATAGGAATTCAGATATTTACTTGAGATCCTGATTTTAATTCCTTTGGATATATGGCCAGAAATAAGACTGCTGGATCATATGGTAGTCCTATCTTTAATGTTTTGAGAAACCTCCAAACTGTTTTCCATAGCAGGTAGCTACACCAATTTACATTCCCACCAAAAGTGAACAAGGGACCAGGCATGGTGGCTCATGCCTATAATCCCAGCACTTTGGGAGGCTGAGGTGGATGGATCACCTGAGGTCAGGAGTTCGAGATCAGCCTGACCAACATGGTGAAACCTCATCTCTACTAAAAATACAAAAAAATTAGCTGGGCGTGGTGGCACATGCCTGTAATCCCAGGTACTTGGGAGACTGAGACAGGAAAATCACTTGAACCCAGGAGGCAGAGGTTGCAGTGAGCTGAGATGGCGCCATTGCACTCCAGACTGGGTAGCAAGAGCGAAACTCCATCTCAAAAAAAAAAAAAAAGTGAACAAGGGTTCTCTTTTCTTCACATCCTGCCCACTCCTACTATCTTTTGTGGGTTTTTAAATAATAACCGTATTAAGCGATGTGAGTGTTATCTTATTGTGGTTTTGATTTCCATTTCCCTTATGATTAGTAACTTTGTGAATCTTATACCTGTGAACCATATGTATGTCTTCTTTTGAGAAATTTCTATTCAGTTCTTTTGCCCATTTTTTAATTGTATTGTCTCTTGTTTGCTTGCTTGTTCTTGTTTTACTATTGAGTTTTGGAGTTATTTATATATTTTGGATATTAACCCTTTATCATCAGATTTGTGGTTTCCAAATATTTTCTCCTATTTCGTGAGTTGTTTGTTCCTTTTCTTATTTCCTTTGCTATGCAGAAGCTTTTAAGTTTGGCATAGTTCCATTTGTCTATTTTTGCTTTTGTTACCTGTGCATTTGTTGTCATATCCAATAAATCATTGCCAAGGCTGCTGTCACAAAGCTTTTCCTCTATGTTCTCTTCTAAGAGTTTTTAGTTTTTAGGTCTTATGTTTAAGTCTTTAGTCCATTTGAATTTATTTTTTGTGTATGGTATAAAATAAGGGCCCAATCTCATTCTTGTGCATGTGAATATCGAGTTTTCCTGACACCGTTTATTGAAGAGGCTGTCCTTTCCCCCTTGTGTATTCTTGATACCTGTGTCAAAGATCAATTGACCACACATGCGCAGGTTTATTTCTGGGCTCTCTATTCTGTTCCATTGGTCTATATATCTGTTTTATGCTAGTATCATACTGTTTTATTATTTGAAATATATTTTCTTATCAGAAAGTATTTTCCCTCCAGCTTTACTTGGAAGGTAACTGTATTAACTGTACTGTATTAACTAAGTGAACTACATTCAAGAAACGCAAAGGATATGTAAAAATATCAACCAAAAAAACAAATTTTGTCTTTGAAAAACTCAAGAAAATATCCTTTGACCAAACTCTCATACAGCCAATATTCTATTTCAAACTGTTTATTTGAATTTAATTAAACAGTGAGCAGTTATCAGATTCTATTCAAGAGATGATCTAATTTCTCTACAATGCTTTCCTTTGATAAGTTAAAAATCATAACATAGAATATCACCTGACGTTGTTAAACTTCTAAAGAAGGCATTACAGTAATACTATGTGTACAGAGCACTGATGTTAAATTCCCACCTTGATGATCACAGCTCTTCGTATAAAATCTTGGTTGATGTCTCACAGAAGTTCATGCATCATACTAAATTAAAGGTACAGAGCTGTCAAATTATCAACAAATCTTCTACATTCAGTTTTAAAGGGGTGCAGGGGAGACACTTAAGTTTTAGTTTCCCAGTATCTTTTCAATTTTTAGAATGAATGTTAGAATGTTTTCCCTTTAAGTAGTGTAAGAATTGAAGTAGGCATCTAATTAGACATGCATTTCAAAAATTGCCTAACTAGAAAAAGTGTGATACATCATTCTACAAATATATATTGGACACCTACTCAATATATGACACTATTCAATATAGGCAGCTATGGAGGATGCATAAGAACATAATTCTGTTTTCAGGGGGCTTTATAATATAACTGAGGAGCTCAGATATATACATGCAAATATTTAAGTGACACTGCAAGGCAAATACATAATTAAAGTTCCAATTAGAAGTTAAGACCATGTGTACTACAAAAGAAGGTAGAATTAACTGGGGCTAAAACAGTGATACAAAAATCTCAGAGGAGAGACAGAACTTGAGAGCTCAGATAGGAAAGAAAAAAATTTAGAAAGGAAGAGATGAAAGAAGAGGACATCCACAGCTAAAAAGCCATAGAGAGGTCTCGGGGTAGTATACCAGCAGCCTGCACAGAAGAGAAATGACAACATGGGAGGAGTAGGTTGGAGCCAGAAGGAAGAGAACTTTAAATATTATATCATATCCTAAACTAAGACTTAATCATTCAATAAATATTAATTAGAGCATATATTATGTGCCATACATTGTCCTAGCTTCAAAGGATACAACTGTGGACAAAACAAATAGTTTCTCTGCCCCCATACTGCTTATAGTCTAGTGGCTTAATTCTATAAGCATCATGGTACCATACAATGCTTCTGAGCATAGGAGGGATGTGATCAGAAATACACTTTGGGAAAATGATGTAGCAATGGTATGTACCCATATGTACTATTACCGATACAGAAAAGAGAGAAGCAGACCCATTAAGATACTACAATAACAACCCAGGATGGAAGCGGCAAGTGATATTATTCAATTATCCAAATGACTCCTTAAGCAATCTTACATAAATCACCTCATTCTCTGCATCCCTGTACTCACTGGAAAACAAGATTGCCACTCAGCTACAACCTTAAGATCTTCAGTTAGAAAATTCTACAACAAATCAAGGTACTGTGTAACATACGTAAAGTAACGCTAAAGACTAAGAGCTACAACTGGCCTTCATTTCCAATGTTTTCTTAGCATACAACTTTAGAATTATGCATGTGCTTTATGAATTTAACCACTACCTATCAGTCTCCAAAAGAGCACTGACTTTCTAAATAAGAATGGAACCCTGGCCAGGCACAGTGGCTCATGCCTATAATCCTAGAACTTTAGGAGGCCACAGTGGGCAGACTGCTTCAGCCCAGGAGTTCAAGACCAGCCTGGGCAACATAGCAAGACCTGTCTCTACTAAAAATCAAAAAAATTAGCTAGGCATGGTGGTACATGCCTCTAGTCCCAGATATTTGGGAGGTTGAGGCAGGAGGATCACTAGAACTCGGCATAGCTGCAGTAAGCTATGACCACGCCATTGCACTCCTGCCTGGGAAAGAGAGAGACCTTGTCTCAAAAAATAAAAAGAAAAAAAGAATGGGACATTTAAGGACCAAAGCTAGACATGATAAAGGGTTTACCCGAGAGACTATGAAGGTCTCTACTACCTCCCTTTAATTCCCTCTGTGTAATCTATAGTCCCAAACAAAGGACAGACAGAGAAGTTACTTACAAGCTACTTACATATTTTAAGAAACAGGAAAGGAACAGTAGACAAGATACTTATTTTATTCTCCATTATATCACAGAGAGCGATTTGCCTCTACAATTACCTTATTTGTAGAAGCCTTAAGGGCAAATACTATGTTTTATTCATCTTTATTATCCCATTGTTCCTAGCATGGAGTTTTGGACACAAGTGCTGTAGGTGGAATCGAAAAGGAAAGACAAAAAGAGTCTGAGATCCAAAAAATAAGTGTAAGTTAACCAGATAAAGGAGGGTTCAGGCAGTAACAGCATCCACCAGTAAGACAGACAGAGGGGGATACAATAGTGAATAAGACATGATTCTTCCTTCTGAGGCACTTGCAGCCTTGTTAAAAAATATTTTAGGAGGAAAGAGATAAAATACACCAGGCATCTGGAACGAGGTAACTAGTAAAATTAATAATTAAAGGCTACTTTTTACTGAATATGCCAAACATTGTGAAGAACATTACAGACATTATCTCATTTAATACTCACAGCCCTATGAGTCAGATATTGTTATCCTCATTTTTCAAACATGGAAACGAAAGGTTAGAGCTGGGATAAATACTTATTCAAGGTCATAAAATTAGCAAATAGTGGAGCTAAGATTCAAACCAACGTCTAACTCCAAAGCCAGTACTTTTAGCCTCCAGGAACCAAGATGATGGCAATGAAGGTGGTAGAAAGTAATCAGATACTGAATGTATTTCGAAAGCGGAGCCAAGAGGATGTGCTGAAAGATGAAGAGCAGGGTTTAAATTGAAGAGGTATTAGATAATATGTATGGGACCAGATGACTAAATAGAAGAGAACCAGTGCATCAAAATCAAGTCCCCTTCTCCAAATACAGCCAGTGCCATTTCTTTATGACTACCCAGAGCCAACTTCTACTCATAAAACCCGCCCTACTCTCCTTTTCATTTATTTATTTATTTCTATTTATTTATTTATTTTGAGACAGGGTCTTGCTCTGTCGCCCAGGCTGGAATGCAGTGGCATGTTCATAGCTCATTGCAGCCTTGAACTCCTGGGTTCAAGCCATCCTCCCGCCCCAGCCTCCCAAGTAGCTGTGACTACAGGTGTGTAGCACCACACCCAGCTAATTGTTTTTTTTTGTGTGTGTGTGTGTGTGTGTGTGTGTGTGTGTGTGTGTGTGTCTGTGTCTGTGTGTGTGAGAAGATGAGGTCTTGCTATGTTGCACAGTCTGGTCTCTAGCTCCTGGCCAAGTGATCCTCCTGCCTTAGCTTCCCAAATGCTGGGATTTCAGGTGTGATCCAGCACACCTGACCTCCTTTTCTTTTTTTAACTTTTTATTTTGAAACAATTTTAGATTTACCAAAAAGTTGCAGAAAGGGTAGAGTTCCCAAATGCCCTTCACCCAGCTTCTCCTAATATCACCATCTTACAAACCATAATTATCAAAGCCAATGTATTAAGACTGATGCCAATACTATTAACTACAATACATCTTGCCAGTTTTGAGCAATTACAAATTAAGCTGCCATAGATACTCTTGTACATATCTATTAGCACCCCTGCATGTCAAGGTTCCCCATGATTACCTTCTGGCTCAATGATTTACTAGAAGGACTCACAGGACTCAAAAGCTGTTATATTCACAGTTATGGCTTATTACAGAAAAAGGATACAGATCAAAATGAGCAAACAGAAAAGGAGCATAAGCAAAGTCCAGGAGAAACCAGGTGCAAGATTCCAGGTGTCCTCTCCCAGTGGAGTCGCATGCATGTGCTTAATTGTCCTAGCAACAATGTGTGACAACACATGCAAAGTAATGTCAACCAGGAAAGTTCACTCAAGCCTTAATGTCCAGCATTTCTATTGAGGGTCAGTCACTAGGCATGCAATGCCTGCATGCAGATGACCTCAGCTATTTAGATTGTAGTCCCCAGATCCCCAGAGAAAAATAGGCTTCACCATAAATCACACTGTTTGCATAAACAATCTGATCAAACCAGTACCTGTGGCTCAAGTCCTCAGGCATATAACACCCTTACTAGGCAGAGTATTCCCAGGGCCCAGCACTCATCTCCCAGGAGCCAGGCAAGGGCAGTCCTGAAAAGAGGCCTTTTTTGGGAATGGCTGGATATGAGTAACCCATGCTAGCTGAATTAACCCTTGCCTGCATAACCTATGAATCCATTTCTGGGCTAAACCATTCATTGTAACAGTGGCACAATATAATATTGTATGGATATGTCAACATTAATTTAGCCAATCACCTACTTACTAACTTTTAAGTTGTTTCTAGGTTTTTGCTAGAAACAATAAAAACAAAGTTTCAGAAGTCATAAAGAGCTACATAAAAGAAAGATACACTTTTTCTAGAATTATTTTCACTAACTGATAAAGGTTTAGTCTAGACTGTGAGTTTCAGGGACCTGAATGAACATAGGATAGGTTTAAGAACAATCTGATTTCAAATGTGAGTGAGCCAACAGTAAGCATTTATGGAAAAGAAAAATCCTGTAAAGGACTTTTCTTACCTCAGAAGTCCTGTGGTGCTTGTTTTCAGTAAAAATATGAAAGTAATAAGAGTAAACCAAAAATTACATTTCTAGAAAAGTGATACAACAATGTTACACACAGCAAAACAGGACTGCAGTTTTAATGGCATATCTATGTCTACATCAAGGGTCTAGGATTCCTACTTTACAATCAGAGTGACTTCATCAGGCTTTCACAAAAGTGACAGTTCTGAATATTTATGTTTAAGATAAAAATAAATGTCGAATTTGGGTACATACATTCTTTTTCCTCTTATCTCACCAGTTATAAACACAATATTCCCAATTTATAATTAATAAAACCTTAATTATTTTAAATGAAGTGGCCTAGTTTCTTATTTTTCTATTTTGAATATTTATTAGTATCTAAGACAAGGTATAATCCTGCATAAATTAAACCCACTTGGCATAATGGAACAGCTCATGGTGTAAAATAAATAAATAAATAAATAAATCCAGGCCCACATGAAGTTCACCATTAAAAAGAGGAAAAAAAAATTTGTGCTTGTCTCAAATAATAATAAAAAATTTAACCTTGTTATATGTCCACTTTAAAACCAGAACAAATTCTTTCCATTTGTTAATGATTTAAAACTGTCTTTAAAATAGCAAAATTTAAAATGCACATATTTTGATTCATTTGTCTAAGCAGCTTTAAACATAAAAATAATCACTAATATTCCAAAAACCTTGATAAGCAATAAATTAGAGCAATGGATATTCTCAAAAGGCATGTAATCAAGAACACAGATGGCCACAGAAAAACGGATTATAAGCACATCTTAGTAAAATAATTTGGATTTTAACAACAACTTTCAATGAAAATAAGGCATTTCCCTCTTAGAATATTTAATAATATATCCAAATTTATCTCCATAAACCTCTTTTGTAAATAGTGTTAACTGGTACTCCTCCCCTTACACCAGAAAACATTTGTACAATATCAAGAAATGAAGGAAGTAGAAGAAGATTAAGGGGAGACAAAAAAGTTCAATATTATTCATATAACAACTGAAATTGATTTGTTGAATTCTCTGAAAAAGTAAAAATGTAGACCTTGGAAATACCAGTAAAAAGCATTTCCAAAGAATTTTCAAAAGGTGAAAGTCCTGTTATCTAAGCAATGCATTTTCATTTTCTTTTATTCCAACAACTTATAAAACTCTGGAATGGAAAATAAATAAAAAGAATACAACTAAGATGGCATACTACAAAGGTCAATTTAAAAACAAAAACATAAGAATTTCAGCAGCAAGCATAAAAAAATTCAAATTATGTTTTAAAAGATAAAGAAAAATATTCCAATGAATGTAAATATGACATACATATGGTAAGACTATTTTCATAAACCTTAATTGTACTTTCATTAGCTGTTACCTCCTAAATATTAGTTATCCACAGTGCTAGGTCCTGGAAATCAGAGAAACAGAAAATATAATCCTGTCATTAAGAAGTTTACACTCTGGGGACTGTTGTGGGGTGGGGGGAGGGGGGAGGGATAGCACTGGGAGATATACCTAATGCTAGATGACGAGTTAGTGGGTGCAGCGCACCAGCATGGCACATGTATACATATGTAACTAACCTGCACATTGTGCACATGTACCCTAAAACTTAAAGTATAATAATAATAATAAATAAATAAAAAGAAGTTTACAGTCCACCGTAATTCTGTATGTCTCAGAAAAAAAGAAAATTCTGCTGTGGAAAAAAAAAAATCCCCAAACTGGCAGCTAAAAGATCTCTCATTCTACCCACTGTTTGTCCTTTCCTATGTTGAGTGTCCTGGAGCAAATCAGGTCACTTTTCGGATTCATTGTCATCTGTAAAATGAAGGGGCCAAACTAAATTTTCTTTAAGGTCCTTTCTGGCAAAAACATCCTATTATTTTAATCTGATACATAATTTACAATACGTATAATAACTATTCTGTACGTGGTAATTAGAAGTCAATGATAAAGTCAACATAAATAGCCATAACCACAATTTATTTTATAAAGCAGTATTTAAATTTTTTTCGGTTACTTTTATCCAGTATCTCTAAACAGCTTCAGAGCCTACTGTTTTTTCAATACTAGTGTGAACACTTTAAAAAGACAAAGGTTCCGCATCTTCCATCCCAATGGCAGAGTATCACTTACACCTCCTCCATAAACTTCAGGAGAAAAGATTCTACCAGACTTCTACAACTGTTTCTCAAAACTGCAGTCTGAACATACTCAAAGGTCTATAAAATTCTCTGTGAAAATTTTTTAATTTTATGTTTTCATTTCAGTGATAGCCTCAAAATATTAGTAAAGCCATCTTATAATTGAAAACTTCTGAAAGATATTAATACATCTGTTTTCAATCAAGTGATATCGATTAATTCCTCTTTAATTCTCAGGGACTAACGTAGAAAAAAGCAACAGCATACTTAAAACTTAAATGCATTCATGCGCACATAAGGGCCAAATGATGTCACCCTTCCCAAAAGACGAGGTTTTCTAGTACTAGTTCAAATAGAGAAAGGGGGGGAAAAGCTGAATAATCACATTTTATATATTTATATATTTTTATTATATATATTTTTTATTTTTATATATTTATATTTATATACATATTTCAAGACAATCTGTGAGGTAAGCTTATATATATAGCAAGCAATAATTTAATTTAGCAAATTATCATATATAACATATTAAATTGACATAATTAATTTGAACAGTACTATGGTGCCTGTTCAAAGTACAGTATAAATGTGTAAAAGTTCATGATTTCCTTTTTTTTTTTTTAATTAAATCTCGGACCTGTGTGAGAGATTTTCCATTTAAATGTATCAATTTAGCTAGGAAAATTCCAACATTTTCTAAAGGAAATATTTTTCAAAATCCTTTTAAAACCAATCTTACAATCTTAATTGTCACAAAAAACAGATATCACAGTTATATAAGTACATAGTATAATCTGCATTTATTTCTAAATAGAGAAACAAAGCCAAAGGCATAGAAATGGGATATTCAGTACCTATTTTTTCAGAGGGTTCTATTAAAAACAAAGAAAAGCAGTGCCCCTTTCTCACTTGGGAAAATAAATCACCTTAGGAAAAACTGAAAAGCATTAGCCTACAGTTACTACTTAAAAGCAAACAAACACAACATTTAAAAAGTGAATTTTATTTTGCACGGAATTAAGTCAAGCAACAGTATGAATTAATAATAAAATAAGAATATATAGTCATCCCCCTGTATCCATGGGGGATTGGTTCCAGGACTCCTCTGCAGATACCATAATCCACGGATGCTCAAGTCCCTCATATAAAATGGTGCAGTGTTTGCACATAATCTATGTACATTCTCTGGTATACTTTAAATCAACTTTACATTACTTATAATACCCAATACAATGTACATGCTATGTAAATCTCTGCTTAACTATAGGGAATCATGACAAGAAAAAAGTCTGTACATGTTCAGTACAAAGACAACTATCCTTTTCTTTTCTTTCAAATATATATATATATTTTTAGAGAGAGGGTCTCACTCTGTCTCCCAGGCTGAAGTGCAGTGACATGAACATGGCTCAATGCAACCTCAACCTCCTGCGCCTAAGTGATCCTCCCACCTCAGCCTCTTGAGTAGCTGAGACTGCAGGGGCACACTACCACACCCATTGCTTTTTCAAATATCTCCTATCTTTAGTTGGTTGAATCCATGGATGCAGAACCCACAGATACAGAGGGCCAACTATATACATAACTTTCTATTCAATCAAGTATCTTTATACAGTATTTCAAAGTTCCCTTATTCTCCTTGATCAGGAAAAATATAAATTTGAATTTATCATTTTAACCAACTACAATAAAATGTAAAAGATGAACATCACCCAAGACAAACTTAACAGCACTTGACTTTAATTCAAAATATAAACTAAAAAGCCATTAAAGTATGCAGAACTTTTTGAATGTCATATTTTCTCCCTTGACTTCTTCCTTGGTTTTATAAACCTCAAAGGCTGTGTGATAGTTTATATTATTTATACATATTCTTTATGTTGCAAAGATCCAAGATTTTAATTTTCCAAAAACAAATCTAAAAATTATAAAATCATAACCAAATTTTATCTCAGTTTAAGGAACTATCTTTTCTTGAGATGAAGCATGACTAAAATTGAGAAGCCTGAATGTTGATGAGGCTGTGGAACAACGACTAAAACTCCCTGACACACTGCAGATGGGAGTGTAACTTAGTACACACTTACGTCTTGCAGGTTACACATCACAAGCCCTTGTAATAGCCTGTCATCTTCAGATTTCTGATCACAATGCCCGCTACAAAAAGCCATGCCACAAATAATCTTTCAAGGTTTTCTTACTGACACTTTCATTACTATCATTCCAACATCTCTTAATGGTTGACCTCTGACCATTTGAAGCAAACCAAATCCTATTGTACACAAAACAGCGCTGAACACAATAACACAGTATCTAAACCTAAAATACTTAAAACAAAACTAACAACAACTGCAGTATTTTTTTTAATTATATAGAAATAGATCTAGGCAATTTCATGAAGTTTTACTACTTTATATTTACTGCAGTGTGAGAAATGTGATACAAAGCACACACAAAGAGTAAACAATGAGAAGGAAGAAAAGGAGGGACTATAGGAACTTTTAAAAACATCGTTTAAATCTACTCCAGACTCAAATTATTAAAATAATAAAATAATCTCAGCAGATGAGCTAATTTAAGATGATGGCGATGTTTGCTATAGCAATTAGACTGTACTACCTTTAAAAAGTCATCTGTTTTACATTTTCCTCTAATTTTATTATTTGATACCATAAGTCAGTGAATGTAATATAAAAGAAACAAAAGAAAGGAAAAGAAAAAAGAGAAAAAAAGAAAAACTTACTGGGATTGAAAACTCCTCAGCCAAATACTTCAAGGAGGATGCCTCTCTTGCCAAGAACTTGTTTCTTTCTTTGAGATTGCCTTGAAGTTGTGCATCAAACTCCTTTCTGACCACAGAAGCAACAGAGTCAAGAATCACAAGTTTAATTCCTTTTGAGATAATTTCTTCTTCCAAAGATTCAATCCTATAAAAGAAGAATTTATAAAATAGTCAATAAATTTAAGATAAAATAAATAAATAAAGGTATTGCAAAGGCTAAGCAACTTAAAAACAATAAACTATTCTTTCCTAAGTTACAGTAATGATTTGCAAGAATTCAGTAAACCTAACTTGTAGACATATCATACTTTTCTGGAAACAGAGCAAACTGTTTCTGTGTAGTTTCAGAATTCCTTGATTCTCCTAAGATAATGTTAACGCTCCAATTCTGGGGTAAAACTACTTGTGGTAGCCAGTCTGCAAAATGGCCCACACTTACTCCCTCCTCTTGGTATTTTGCATCCTTGTATAGGTCCCTCCCACAGTGTGCCAGACTTGATCTGTATGACCACAAGCATATGACAAGATCATGGTACCTTATTTCTGAGTGTGGGTTATAAAAGACTACAGCTTCCATCTTGGGTACTCTTTCACTTGCCCAGTCTCTCAGGTCACTTACTCTGAGGAAAGCAACTTGCTATGTTGTGATTTATGGAGAGGCCCAGACGGTAAGGAACAAAGGTCTCTTGCCCACTGCCAGCAAGAAACAGAGGGCTTCCAACAACTATATTAGGGAGCTTGGAAGCAGGTACTCCAGCTCCAGTCAAGCCTTAAGATAACTGCAGCCCTGGCCACCAGCTTGACTATAACCTCTTGAGCGACATTGAGCCAGAAACACCCAGCTAAGCTACTCCCAGACACTTAACCCTCAGAAACTATGTGAAATAATATGTATTTGCTGTTTTAAGCTACTAAACTGTGAGACAATTTGTTAATGAAACAATAGATAAATAATACACCACTTAATTAATTAAATACAGAACATTTTATTCATTTAATTTTTTTTGTTTTTCAAGAAAGACTTCAACCAAAAGGCTATAACAAAGAAGAACACTGAAAAAGTTACTCCACATAATTCTAACCTATAAAGACTTTTTTCACTTAGAAGCTGAAACATAAAAGATAAAACATAAACCTTCAACGCATTACTAAAAAATCAAAATCTAAAGCAGCATACCTTTGTAGAACTTCATCACAGGTGAGTTCCCGATAAAGATGAACTTTACTACTTGTCAAAAGTAACTTTTCTTCAGTGTTAAAATATCTGGGAAAACGGGATTCTGCTATTTCAACCAGTCTGTGGGTGAAAAAAATAGCACAAACGAAAACAGTCAATTCTACTTAAAGCCACATTGCTGAATCTCTAATTAATTTTACTTGAGAAACTCCTAAGCCTTATCAATAGAGCAGGTATAAGCAAAATGGCTTAATATACAGATTTAGAATTAAGCTCTCTTTTGTAAGCACTAACAGAGGTTAGCAGTCAGAGCATGCAACCAGCAAGGGCTGTTGGATCTCATCTAATCTTGAGCAAACAACAATGTCTCTTGAGATTTATCTTTCTGGGATTAAATATGTTTTTTGTAAGTGATATTTAGAGTAGCAGCTATAAGATATGTTTACTAAATAAGAATGCTTTCATTTTCTTGAATGAAATAAGTATATTTGAACAAATATGGTATATTGTATTATAATAGATATCAGTAAGTCTTCATGTCTCATTCCAGAAAAATACACTTTCTCAATTGAAACAATTCATGCAAATTAATGCTATGCAATAATTCCTTTAAATTATGGCCCAAATAAATTAATGTTCCAATACTTTCTTAGTAAACAAAACATGATTTTCTAAACACTGAATTCTGGCCTCAAAGCCAGTTTAATACATGCAGTAGGCCAAACACAAGAGAGTGACAAGTTAAAATGCCATCATTCATATTATAAGATATGGAAAGCATTACTAGAAATTTCTCATATTTATGGTTAAAAATGTTAAAAATATAAGTCTTTGAGTTTAACCATCTCATTTCATTTTAAATGTTTTGAGTTTAACCATCACATTTCATTTTAAATGAAATGACATTTTATCAGCCCTAGTACTTAGCCATCCCAGGGGAACTGGGAGGAGAGGCTGTAAACTCAAAAAGCATCCTATATTTTGTTTTCCATTTAGAGACTCAAAAGTACAAAAGAACAGTGTTTTCATTTCTAAATAGTTAGAGTTCTGAGAAGAAGCTGGGAACTTTAAAAACATAACCAAAACAAGTCCTTACATTTGCTATGATCAGAAATAAAAGAGAAAAGCCCAAAACAGGAAAAGAGAAGAGAGAACTTCAACAACTGTTTTTAAGTGTATTTTTGAACAATTTGAAAAGAAAAATATACATAGCTAAGTTGAACAGGAAGAGGAAAAAATACTTCATGAATAAGGAATAGTACCAAAAGAGGTGTGAAGAGTGAGAATAAAATGGATCAAATAACCATCCAGGAAAAGAGCTTAAGAGAGGCACAGGGATTGAAATGGAAGAAGGAAATGAGGTAAGGGAGGAAATCAAGAAATGAGATGGCATTGGCACAGGCAGAGCAGCCAAATCCTGAGGGTTTGGGGGAAAAGTGTAAATTTTTGATTAGGGAAACTATTTGCTGAGTTTAGTGCTGGTCAGAGAAGTCAGCTAAAAATCTCTGGCACTTAGAACCTACCAGTTTTTAACAGGATAGGTCTGGCAACATCTTCTAGAAACATGGAAATTTTTCAAAATTTGAATGCCCAGTTGATTAGGAACCAGATTGAGAGTACCTAGCTCATTAGCAACAAGAACTGAACAGCTGACAATTTTCTGGATTTCCACTAGTGGCTTCAGTAATGAAAGGCTCTGGAACTTACTGCTGCTTTGCCATTGCTGAAGGCCTCACAAAAGGAATGGTGGTCAATGGATAGACATGAACAACCTTTGTTCACAGTTACCATGCTAAATAACTGTATTAAATGGATCATTTACACACCAATATGCTGTAATTTTGTTTCTCTAAATGTTTTTTATTTTATAATAAACATCTAAAAATATATAAATCAAAAACCAAATATAAATGCAATATTCGACATGCCTCACATTCATCCTAGTAACTTCTTGTGACAATCTTCATTGCAAAGATCTTTTTTGTTTAGGGCAAAAAACAGAAAATAACCTATCATTTGCTCCCAGACATTAATTACATAAAGTTTGAAAATAATGCCATCTAGTGGATATCTGTTTATAAAAAGCATTCTTTTCAAAATGAGCACTAAGATCCATTCATTCAACAAATATTTATTGAGGACCTACTATATGCCAGGCACTGTTCTGGGTGCTGAGAATATGGCAATGAACAACCACCACTACCAAAAGAAAAAGAAAAGCCCTTACCTCATAGGGTTTAAATTCTACTGAGGAAGACAAACAAATAAATATATATTATATATGAGGTAATAAGGCTGTAGAGGAAAATGAAGCAGGATGAGAGAATAGAATGTGACAGGTGGGGCTAGCGCTATTTTATATTTTATGTCAGGTGAACTGACAAAGCCTTATTAATAAGGTGACATTTGAGCAAAAGCTTAAAAGAGATAAGAAAATGAACCATGTGGATACCCAGTGAAACAGCACACAAGAATAGAGAATTATAACAAGTGCAAAAGCTTACATGTGGAAAGATGCCTGGTGTGTCTGAGAAACAACAAAGAGACTAAAGTATCTGGAACACAGAGAGTAAGAGGGAGAATAAAAGAAAACAAAGAGCTAGCCAAGGCCAAGATCACATAAGACCTTTAGGTCTGTGGTTTTTGTTTTTTTTTTTTTTGCTAAAGTGGTATTTTTTTTTTTTAGCTTTTATTTAGCAAAATAGGAAGCCTAGAAGCAGGAACAACATGATCTGACTTCTTTTTTTAAAAGGACTGCTCTAACTGCCCAATGGAGAAGAGGCTTGGGCAAGAATGAAAGCAAGGAGATCAGCTAGCACAGATAAGAGCTGGTAGTGACCAGTTAAGAGCTGGTAGTGACCTCACCCAGGGAAGTAACAGGTCAAGTGATGAGAAGTAACTAGACTCAAGATATAGTTCAAAAGAGGAGCTGAAAGAATTTCTTGGCCGGGCACGGTGGCTCACGCCTGCAATCCCAGCACCCTGGGAGGCCAAGGCAGGCGGATCACCTGAGGTCAGGAGTTCAAGACCAGCCTGGCCAACATGGCAAAACCCCGTCTCTACTAAAAATACAAAAATTAGCCAGGTGTGGTGACGGGCGCCTGTAATCCCAGCTACTCGGGAGGCTGAAGCAAGAGAATCGCTTGAATCTGGGAGATGGAGGTTGCAGTGAGCCAAGATCACGCCACTGCACTCAGCCTAGGCAACAGAGTGAGGCTCCGTCTCAAAAAAAAAAAGAAAGAATTTCTTGACTAATTGGGTGAGTGTCTAGAAGAATGGAATCACAACTTTATTGAAGCAGAAAAGACAAGATTCACATAAAGGTTTTGGTTATTGGTGTTATTTGCATGTTTTATTTCCTTCATGGGGGAAACAAAAATGCAGTTTTGGACATATCAGGAAATCCATGTATGTAAACCTATCCAAGTTCCATGTCATTACGCAAATGAATATGAATCTGAAGTTCATGGGAAAGCTCAGAATTCAGATATCAATAGGAGTTACAGCCTATAAAAGATTTTAAAGATCATAAGACCAGATGATATTAGGGATTGAGTACAGATATAGAAGAGAAAAGGTCCTAGGACTGAGTTCTGGGATTCCCCAAAGCCTAGAAGTTAAAATGATGAGGAGGATCCAGCAAAAGGGACTGAGAGGAGGAGGTGACCAAGAAGGTAGGTGTAAAAGAAGAGAGAATAGTTCCAAGAAGCCAAGTGGGCTGGGCATGGTGGCTCATGCCTATAATCCCAACACTTTAGGAGGCCAAGGCAGGAGGATCTCTTGAGCCCAGAAGTTTAAGACCAACCAGGGCAACATACCAAAACCTTATCTGTACTAAAAATTAAAAAATTAGCTGGGCATGGTGGCATATGCCTGTGGTCCCAGCTACTCGAGAGGCTGAGGTGAGAGGATTGCTTGAGTCTGAGGGGTCAAAGCTGCAGTGAACCATGATAGCACCACTGTACTCCAGCCTGGGTGACAGAGTTAGGTGAGAACCTGTCTAAAAAAATAAAAAGTCAAGGGAAGAGAGCTTTTCAAGAAAAAGTGAGTGATCAACTCTTTCGAATGCTGCTATTGGGTTGGATAAAATTTTTTAAATCAGTTGCATTATAGAGCTGGAAACTTAAGCCTGGATAGAGTGAACTCAAGAGAGAATGAAAGAAGGGATTTCCACTTTAGCCCACAAAGGATTAACTGGTACATGAATTGCACTAAAATAATAAGTAGAAAATCAGACAGAATACATGAAATAAGAGTTTTCAGGTACTGAACAATAGAAAGCTTGAGACTGTAATCCTTGAGAGAAAGGAAACAAACACAATGAGCTTACAATCACCTCAGTTTGCTCCAGAGGCAGTTTCCAGGCTGCAACACAAGAAAGGGAAAGTAAACAGAGCCTGGTAGACAACCTGAGTTGAGGAGATGGGGATCGGAGTTTGGGAAAGCTAAGGTGGCTAGAACTTATGGGGCAGAGTACCAGAGAGGAAGCAGGTGTGCAGAGTGAGCACTGCAAAGATCTGCAGAGAGGGCCACTTGAGAACTAATCTGCACATGTGTGAAGGGAAACTACTTGAGGTTGAGGAAAGAACCACCAGAAAGTATCAGACTGAACACTTCCTAGTGCCCACACAGGGTGAGAACAGTTCGGGTTTACACAAGGTGAAGAATAAAGAGACCTTATTATACACTGGGCATTGGGCAGAATTTTCAGAAGGATTTTACCTTAGTAGTGAAGCTAAATAAGTTTCAGAATAAAAAACCACAGTCATGTGCTGCATAACGACATTTCAGTCAATGATGCATCACTTATACAACAGTGGTCCCATAAGCTTATATAGTATATTTTTACAATACCTTTCCTTTGTTTAGATACACAAATACTTACCATTGTGTTGTAATTGCCTATTCAATACAGTAACATGCTGTACAGGTTCATAGCCTAGAAGCAATAGGCTATACCATATAGTCTAGGTGCGCAGTAGGCTATACCATCTAGGTGCATGTAAGTACACTGTAGGGTGTTCATACAACAATGAAATTGCCTAACAATGCATTTCTCAGAACATATCCCAATTGTTAAGCGAAGCATGACTGTACCTGGGATTTTTCCATAACAACATAGAAAAGCAACCTGCAAAAGGATCAAACTAATACTAAAATGTACCTTAAAACAAAACCTAACACTCTTGAAAAACATATGTTAAAATCCAGCACCCACCAACAACGTAAAATTTACAATGTTTAACATCGAATTGAAAAATTACCAGACAAGTAAAGGAAGAGGAAAAGATCCATTACCAGGAGAAAAATCAGTCAATAAAAACAGATTTAAAAAATTATATATATGATGGCATTCATGGATAAAAACCTCAAAACGGCTATTATTAATCTTCTACATTTGCTCAAGGAGTTAAATAAAGCAGGGGTTGTCAAACTGTGCACTATGGCCCATTGCCTGTTTTTGTCAATAGAGTTTTATTAGAACACAGACATATTTTTAATATTCTGTTTGACAAAATAGAAGCACTTCTACTACATTCTGAAGTACAACCATTGTCTCAAGGAAAAACATCTGTACAATTGGGTTCTCAGACTAAGAAGTCACTTTTTCCATGGGAGACCATTTTTACTTGAAAGAATGATTGATAGATAAGTTATGGTTTTTCTGACTTAAGTATTTGGTAGACGTTTTCTCAAAATGAGCAAAGTAAGCCCGACACTTCAAGAAAAACAAGTGGCAATATTTATTGCCAATGATAAAATTCAAGCTTTTAATGAAAAATCAGATTCCTAAAAAACTTACATCTGCTACCATGAGTTTGACTGCATCCCAATACTTAAATACTTTTTGTTCAGATCAGTGGAGATACTAATGAAATTTTTTTATATTGAGTAATAAAATGTGTCAACATTTAGAACTCCATAAGACAGTGAACCAATATTTTCTGAGTGATAAATGCATAATATTACAAAATCATGCATAGGTAAATATCCATTAAGAGCCTAAGACAGATGAATAGATTTTAATGTAACTGTAGAAAAAATGCAATAATATGGTTTCAGATTCTATATCACAACTAACCTCTAAGCAACTATTACTCAATTCCTGGTGTAGTATCAAAGAAGCATATCTTTAATTATCTGAAGAGACTATTAAAATATTCCTCCCTTTCCAACTATAACCAGTATAAGGCCAGATCTTCATATCTCAACCAAAACAACAGAGTGCAACAGACTGAATGCAGAAGCAGATATTAGAATCAGGCTGTCTTCTATTAAGTCAGACACTAAAGAGATTTGCAAAAACATAAAACAACGCCACTCTTTTTTCACTTTTTTTAGTCAAAAATGTATTTATTTTCCATAAAAAATACATGTAAAGTCCAGGTGCAGTGGCTCACATCTGTAGTCCCAGCTACTCAGGAGGCTGAGGCAGGAGGCTCTCTTAAGTCCGGGAGCTGGAGGTTACAGTGAACTATGATCATGTCACTGCACTCCAGCCTGGGTGACAGAGCGAGGCCCTGTCTCTTAAAAAAAAAACAAAAAACAAACAAAAAATATATGACAGTCAGTTTTGTGTCAACTTGGCTAGTCCACAGTCTCCTGTTATTCAATCAAACACTAATCTATGCATTGTTATGAAAGGATTTTGTAGATGTCATTAATGTCCATAAACAGATGACTTTAAGTACTAGAGATTATCCTACATAATCTGGGTGGGCTAATTCAATCACTTGAAAAGCCTTAACAGCAGAGCTGAGACTTCCTTTAAAAAGATGAAATTCCACCTATGGACTACAGCTTAGGCCCTTGCCTGAGAGTTCTAGCCTGCCCTTTCCAACAGCCTGCCCTATGGATTTCAGACAACTCCACATCTGCATATGCCAATTCTTTGCAATAACTCTCTTAATATATGTTCTACTGGTTCTATTTTCCTAATGGAGCCCTGTTTGGTACAATATGCTAACATGTAATGGCCAGGCACAGTGGCTCACGCCTGTAATCCCAGGACTTTGGGAGGCTGAGATGAACAGATCACTTGAGGTCAGGAGTTCGAGACCAGCCTGGCCAACATGGCGAAACCCCGTCTTTAATTTAAAAATTCAAAAATTAGCCAGGCATGGTGGCAGGCGCACTGGTGGGCACCTGTAATTGCAACTATTCGGGAGGCTGAGTAAGGAGAATCGCTTGAACCCAGGAAGTGGAGGTTATAGTGAACCAAGATCACACCACTGCACTCAAGCCCGGCGACAGTGAGACTCCATCTCAAAAACAAAAACAAACACACAAAAAAACACATACCATGTAATGGACTTACTGCATAATAGATAATAGTTAAATATTCTTTAAATTTTCCAGTTTAAATTCCTAATATGATAAATATCAATTGATATAATCCACCTAGAGTTTAAGGGCCCTGAAAATTAAAACTTTAAAAACTACAGCCATAAAGCAAAATCTGAAAGATCAACCACCAAAGAAATCATAGATAACAAAAGATAGCATAACCAAAGTTGAAAGATAAATTATAGAATTATAGCCCAGGAAAAAAATCATATAAACATAAATATCCATAATACACAAAGTATTTATATATATCAATAAGAAAAAATGGACAAAGTGTATTTCTAGGTAATTTGCCAAAGAAATATAAATGGACAATGAATATATGAAAAGATGTTGGTTCACAATAGTTAAAACAATGAGCTATCACTTTTTTCCCGCAAGTATGACAAAATTAAAGAAACTAAAAACAGTGATGAAGGCTCTCAAAGTACTATTGGTTGAGATACAATTATGTAAAATATTTCTAGAGGAGAATGTGGCAGTTTATACAAAAATTTAAAATATATCCTTAATGGATTTCTGATGGATTAAAGATATTGACATAAAAGATAAAACTATAACTATATTAGGAAAAAACTGTAAGACAATATCTTGATAACTAATAGTGGGGGAAAACTTGTTAATTAAGATCTGAAAACCAATACCATTAGGCAACAACTTCAAATTTACAAATTTCTGGCCAGGCATGGCGGCTTATGCTTGGAATTCAAGCAGTTTGGGAGGCGGAAGCAGGAGGGCTGCTTGAGCCCAGGAGTTTGAGACCAGTTTGGGCAAGATGGTGAGACCCCAGCTCTACAAAAAAATTTTTTTAATTAGCCAGGCGTGGTAGCACACGTCTACAGTCCCAGCTATTTGGGAGGCTAAAGCAAGGGGATCCCTTGTACCCAGTAAGTCGAGACAGCAGTGAGCTATGATTGTGCCACTGCACTCTAGCCTGAGTGAAACCTCGTCTCTAATAAATTTTTTTAAATTATAAATTTCTCTTCAATAAAGGACACTACAAAGATGACAGATAACAGAGCAGGAGGAGATATTTTCAATGTGTAAAACTGACAAACAATATCTAGAAGACACACAAAAAGCTTCTGCAAATCAAGAATAAAAAGACTAGAAGCCCAATGGGAAATGGGATAAAGATAGATTCATAGACAGAAAGCCCAAATGTCAAACAGGCATTACTGAATGAATGAATGAAAACACTACTTGGATCTTTTCTCGGAGTCAATCATTTTTTCCAACCACAGTTCAGTGGAAAGAGGATATGAGTTCACCTCTCAGCTATCTTATTAGCCATATGATCTTGGGCAAATCACATGGTTTCTGAGTCCCATTTTGCTTATTTCTAAAATGAAGATCATAATACCCCGCTCCTTACCTGACAGTGCTGCTGTATGCATCAACTGAGATGAATGTCAATTATATCATGCTGCAAAATGCTCTAATTTATAAAATATTATTTATAGCATTATCAGTCTTAATGACCCTCACATTACAGAATGGCTAGCATCCCTGGACCACATCTATTTATTACTGTAAAAAAAAAATTTCTTCTTGCACCCCCCTACAAATTCCCAAAATACCTACTAAAGGGGAAACTGTCTGCCTTACTCCCTCAACTGATAACTACTAATTCATAAAATGGAGGTAGTACCATTCTAAAGGGCCATGCTGTCAGAAAAGCTACCTTTATACTCTTAGTCCATCAAACCCCAAAACAATATCCCTGAAAACCTATTAAGAGCTTTATTTCTAAAATCTCCTCCCTCCCTGGATGAATCATTTGCATATCAATTGCTAGTGGAGATGTCCTGAGGTAAAACACCACCGACTTCCCAACTTCCCCTTCCATATCATCTAACTTAGCCTAACCCTACATCCACTCTCAATGTCCCACTGCCAGAACGACTCATTTCTGATACACAAATAATGCTAACTATCAATCCCACAATCAAAGGATTTACTGTGGTAGAATGCCTCAGAAAATGGTTAGAAGTGCTCCTCTTTTAAAAGAAAAAGAAGTTCTAGGCCACATTTTAGTTTTTCTTTTGCCATCAAATCTCACCTGGCAAGTGACTATCTATGCCTTAATTTGGACCTGATAGCTACAATGCACTTTAAAGATTCCAATTCTGGAAAGAGTTAACTGCTCATGGATACAGATAGACTTCTTTCGTAATCAGTTCCAGAATCAAAAGGCATATGTCAATTAAGGAGCAAAACCCTGTACAAAATTATTAGTTCCCTATGTGACTTCATAGCTCTTATATAAAAGGAAAAATAAAAGCTTTTCATTAGTGACCACATGCCAACTTGAAATAAAACATACGCTTAATGTAAAAAGTTTTCCAAAATCTTAGTTAAAATGTAGCATCATAAATATGCTAAAATGTAGGCTTATTGCTTCTCAAAGCTTCTTGTACATACGTACTATATCTCTGTTCATTCATCATTCAATATATATTACTGAATATAATGATATGAATCTATTAATTCATTACAGATTCCAGAATATTCCAAACCTTTGTTACAGTAATAAGTACTTATGACTAATTCTACTTTCTATCTGAGAAACTTTTCAGGATCTCCCTCCCCACTAATTCACCTAGATTCACAAATGATAAGGCAGCTGGAACTGAACTGAGGAAAACCTACCCAGTGTCATGAAACTATCTCAAAAAAATGATTAAGAGGGAATTTATCTCCCCTATTGTTTCTTTCTGGGTCAAAGATTCCAAATTTATACCAACAAGCAAATATGTCAATATGTCAATGGTCTTAAGACCACACTGGTATTACCTTCAGAATCAGCCTGAGTCATGGCTGGCCACTACCACTCCCTGCTATGCCTCCAATTTTATATACAAATCCAGAAAGAATGACACTCTAAATACAGCTGTATGGCGCATAATAATGGGGATATGTACTGAGAAATGTGTCATTAGGCAATTTCACTATTGTGCGAACATCATAAAGTGTACTTCTACAAACCTAGATAGTATAGCCTACTACACACTGAGGCTATATGGTATAGCCTATTGCTCCTAGGCTACAAACCTGTGCAGAGTGTTACTGTACTGAATATTGTAGGCAATTGTAACACAGTGACAAATATCTTTGTATCTAAACTTTAATAAGATACAGAAAAATTATGGTATTATAATCTTATGCAACCACCATCTTATATGCAATCCATCCTCGACTGAAATGTTGTTATGTAGCACATGACTGTAGTTTGCTAGGTGTTAAAGATAACTATCTGTGGGGAACTTGGCACCCTGAGAGGTGACATGCACACCAAATACAGCAGCTTCCTCAGATCTAAGCTTAGCCATTGCTCCCACACACTACCAATACAAGTACCTCTCCTTTGTATACTAAGTTATAATATTTACAATTTCACATTTTAGTGATTATTTGATTAATGTCTTCCTCCCTTGCTGGACTAATTGTCTTCCCAATTTTCAAAGCTTTTCTGATTTCATTACAACTCAGGAATATCCACTTCTACCTCCTAAAATTCCAGTCCTATATCCTACCTCCTCAGGTTCCCACCTTCCAGAGTCCTGGCTCTCATCTCTTACTTCCCTACATCCCTCAGTTTTTCTCACATGCTTATTGATCCCCTTCAATTTGCAGTTCTAAGACCCAACTTTACTTTCCTTTATCCATTTTATTTCTCCAAAAACATTATTTCAATACTTCTATTACTATTTGCCATCCATATTACCTTCATTTTTTATTCTTAACCCACAGTTCCATCTTTTTGTAACTGTCTCTAATACGGACAATATATTGTTAATTCAGTTCATGTAAACTGGAATTCTCATGGTTGCCAAAATTTTCATAGACTAGAATATGGGGATGGGTCACTGGATTAATCTATTTATCTACATTCTCAAGGTATATACAAGCATATGGTGCCTAAGACTATATGAGATCTTAAGCAGAAGTCCAGTAGGTTAAAAAAAAACAACAAAAAAACAGCAGATCTTCTCTGGATCAATCAGAAGAGGATCTAGATCTTTGCCTGAATAGCATTCCCCTCTCCCCAAGGCAGTCCCTGTAACTCAGTCTGGTTAGCGCCAGGCTACACAATTATCTAATTCAAGGGTGTCCAACTTTGATATCCTTGGGCCCCAGAGGAAGAAAAAGAATTGTCTAGGGCCACATATAAAATACACTAACACTAATGATAGCTGATGGGCTTTAAAAAAAAAAATCACAAAAAAAGTCATAACGCTTTAAGAAAGTTTATGAATTTGTTGGGCCACATTCAAAGCCATCCTGGGCTGTATGCGGCCCACGGGCTGTGGGTTCAACAAACCTGTTAAAATTGTTAAATAGTCTGGAGATACAATTGCAGTCTATGATGAACAAGCATGATTAACAACTATTTTAGATTACTATCTTCTAAAAGACATGTAAAATAAATTGGTTAGTGCATTGCTTCTAAAAATAGAACTGACCTTTCCAAAGTGCTTTTAAGTATATCATCTCCTGGGTTTTCTTCTTGTTTTCTTTAATACATTTTTTTAATTAATTAATTTATTATTATTATACTTTAAGTTTTAGGGTATATGTGCACAATGTGCAGGTTAGTTACATATGTATACATGTGCCATGCTGCTGCGCTGCACCCACTAACTCGTCATCTAGCATTAGGTATATCTCCCAATGCTATCCCTCCCCCCTCCCCCTACCCCACAACAGTCCCCAGAGTGTGATGTTCCCCTTCCTGTGTCCATGTGTTCTCATTGTTCAATTCCCACCTATGAGTGAGAATATGCAGTGTCTGGTTTTTTGTTCTTGTGATAGTTTACTGAGAATGATGATTTCCAATTTCATCCATGTCCCTACAAAGGACATGAACTCATCATTTTTTATGGCTGCATAGTATTCCATGGTGTATATGTGCCACGCTTTCTTAATCCAGTCTATCATTGTTGGACATTTGGGTTGGTTCCAAGTCTTTGCTATTGTGAATAATGCCACAATAAACATACGTGTGCATGTGTCTTTATAGCAGCATGATTTATAGTCCCTTGGGTATATACCCAGTAATTGGATGGCTGGGTCAAATGGTATTTCTAGTTCTAGATCCCTGAGGAATCGCCACACTGACTTCCACAATGGTTGAACTAGTTTACAGTCCCACCAACAGTGTAAAAGTGTTCCTATTTCTCCACATCCTCTCCAGCACCTGTTGTTTCCTGACTTTTTAATGATTGCCATTCTAACTGGTGTGAGATGGTATCTCATTGTGGTTTTGAGTTGCATTTCTCTGATGGCCAGTGATGGTGAGCATTTTTTCATGTGTTTTTGGCTGCATAAATGTCTTCTTTTGAGAAGTGTCTGTTCATGTCCTTCGCCCACTTTTTGATGGGGTTGTTTGTTTTTTTCTTGTAAATTGTTTGAGTTCATTGTAGATTCTGGATATTAGCCCTTTGTCAGACGAGTAGGTTGCGAAAATTTTCTCCCATTTTTTAGGTTGCCTGTTCACTCTGATGGTAGTTTCTTTTGCTGTGCAGAAGCTCTTTAGTTTAATTAGATCCCATTTGTCAATTTTGGCTTTTGTTGCCATTGCTTTAAGTGTTTTAGACATGAAGTCCTTGCCCATGCCTATGTCCTGAATGGTAATGCCTAGGTTTTCTTCTAGGGTTTTTATGGTTTTAGGTCTTACATTTAAGTCTTTAATCCATCTTGAATTGATTTTTGTATAAGGTGTAAGGAAGGCATCCAGTTTCAGCTTTCTATATATGGCTAGCCAGTTTTCCCAGCACCATTTATTAAATAGGGAATCCTTTCCCCATTGCTTGTTTTTCTCAGGTTTGTCAAAGATCAGATAGTTGTAGATATGCGGCATTATTTCTGAGGGCTCTGTTCTGTTCCATTGATCTATATCTCTGTTTTGGTACCAGTACCATGCTGTTTTGGTTACTGTAGCCTTGTAGTATAGTTTGAAGTCAGGTAGTGTGATGCCTCCAGCCTTGTTCTTTTGGCTCAGGATTGACTTGGCGATGCGGGCTCTTTTTTGGTTCCATATGAACTTTAAAGTAGTTTTTTCCAATTCTGTGAAGAAAGTCATTGGTAGCTTGATGGGGATGGCATTGAATCTGTAAATTACCTTGGGCAGTATGGCCATTTTCACGATATTGATTCTTCCTACCCGTGAGCATGGAATGTTCTTCCATTTGTTTGTATCCTCTTTTATTTCCTTGAGCAGTGGTTTGTAGTTCTCCTTGAAGAGGTCCTTCACATCCCTTGTAAGTTGGATTCCTAGGTATTTTATTCTCTTTGAAGCAATTGTGAATGGGAGTTCACTCATGATTTGGCTCTCTGTTTGTCTGTTGTTGGTGTATAAGAATGCTTGTGATTTTTGTACATTGATTTTGTATCCTGAGACTTTGCTGAAGTTGCTTATCAGCTTAAGGAGATTTTCGGCTGAGACAATGGGGTTTTCTAGATATACAATCATGTCGTCTGCAAACAGGGACAATTTGACTTCCTCTTTTCCTAATTGAATACCCTTTATTTCCTTCTCCTGCCTAATTGCCCTGACCAGAACTTCCAACACTATGTTAAATAGAAGTGGTGAGAGAGGGCATCCCTGTCTTGTGCCAGTTTTCAAAGGGAATGCTTCCAGTTTTTGCCCATTCAGTATGATATTGGCTGTGGGTTTGTCATAGATAGCTCTTATTATTTTGAAATACGTCCCATCAATACCTAATTTATTGAGAGTTTTTAGCATGAAGGGCTGTTGAATTTTGTCAAAGGCCTCTTCTGCATCTATTGAGATAATCATGTGGTTTTTGTCTTTGGTTCTGTTTATATGCTGGATTACATTTATTGATTTGCATATATTGAACCAGCCTTGCATCCCAGGGATGAAGCCCACTTGATCATGGTGGATAAGCTTTTTGATGTGTTGCTGGATTCGGTTTGCCAGTATTTTATTGAGGATTTTTGCATCAATGTTCATCAAGGATATTGGTCTAAAATTCTCTTTTTTGGTTGTGTCTCTGCCCGGCTTTGGTATCAGGATGATGCTGGCCTCATAAAATCAGTTAGGGAGGATTCCCTCTTTTTCTATTGATTGGAATAGTTTCAGAAGGAATGGTACCAGTTCCTCCTTGTACCTCTGGTAGAATTCGGCTGTGAATCCATTTAGTCCTGGACTCTTTTTGGTTGGTAAGCTATTGATTACTGCCACAATTTCAGACCCTGTTATTGGTCTATTCAGAGATTCAGCTTCTTCCTGGTTTAGTCTTGGGAGAGTGTATGTGTCCAGAAGTTTATCCATTTCTTCTAGATTTTCTAGTTTATTTGCATAGAGGTGTTTGTAGTATTCTCTGATGGTAGTTTGTATTTCTGTGGGATCGGTGATGATATCCCCTTTATCATTTTTTATTGCATCTATTTGATTCTTCTCTCTTTTTTTCTTTATTAGTCTTGCTAGCGGTCTATCAATTTTGCTGATCCTTTCAAAAAACCAGCTCCTGGATTCATCAATTTTTTGAAGGGTTTTTTGTGTCTCTATTTCCTTCAGTTCTGCTCTGATTTTAGTTATTTCCTGCCTTCTGCTAGCTTTTGAATGTGTTTGCTCTTGCTTTTCTAGTTCCTTTAATTGTGATGTTAGGCTGTCAATTTTGGATCTTTCCTGCTTTCTCTTGTGGGCATTTAGTGCTATAAATTTCCCTCTACACACTGCTTTAAATGCGTCCCAGAGATTCTGGTATGTTGTGTCTTTGTTCTCGTTGGTTTCAAAGAACATCTTTATTTCTGCCTTCATTTCGTTATGTACCCAGTAGTCACTCAGGAGCAGGTTGTTCAGTTTCCATGTAGTTGAGCGGTTTTGAGTGAGATTCTTAATCCTGAGTTCTAGTTTGATTGCACTGTGGTCTGAGAGATAGTTTGTTATAATTTCTGTTCTTTTACATTTGCTGAGGAGAGCTTTACTTCCAAGTATGTGGTCAATTTTGGAATAGGTGTGGTGTGGTGCTGAAAAAAATGTATATTCTGTTGATTTGGGGTGGAGAGTTCTGTAGATGTCTATTAGGTCTGCTTGGTGCAGAGCTGAGTTCAATTCCTGGGTATCCTTGTTGACTTTCTGTCTCGTTGATCTGTCTAATGTTGACAGTGGGGTGTTAAAGTCTCCCATTATTAATGTGTGGGAGTCTAAGTCTCTTTGTAGGTCACTCAGGACTTGCATTATGAATCTGGGTGCTCCTGTATTGGGTGCATATATATTTAGGATAGTTAGCTCTTCTTGTTGAATTGATCCCTTTACCATTATGTAACGGCCTTCTTTGTCTCTTTTGATCTTTGTTGGTTTAAAGTCTGTTTTATCAGAGATTCGGATTGCAACCCCTGCCTTTTTTTGTTTTCCATTTGCTTGGTAGATCTTCCTCCAACCTTTTATTTTGAGCCTATGTGTGTCTCTGCACGTGAGATGGGTTTCCTGAATACAGCACACTGATGGGTCTTGACTCTTTATCCAATTTGCCAGTCTGTGTCTTTTAATTGGAGCATTTAGTCCATTTACATTTAAAGTTAATATTGTTATGTGTGAATTTGATCCTGTCATTATGATGTTAGCTGGTTATTTTGCTCATTAGTTGATGCAGTTTCTTCCTAGTCTCGATGGTCTTTACATTTTGGCATGATTTTGCAGCGGCTGGTACCGGTTGTTCCTTTCCATGTTTAGCGCTTCCTTCAGGAGCTCTTTTAGGGCAGACCTGGTGGTGACAAAATCTCTCAGCATTTGCTTGTCTGTAAAGTATTTTATTTCTCCTTCACTTATGAAGCTTGTTTGGCTGGATATGAAATTCTGGGTTGAAAATTCTTTTCTTTAAGAATGTTGAATGTTGGCCCCCACTCTCTTCTGGCTTGTAGAGTTTCTGCCAAGAGATCTGCTGTTAGTCTGATGGGCTTCCCTTTGAGGGTAACCCGACCTTTCTCTCTGGCTGCGCTTAACATTTTTTCCTTCATTTCAACTTTGGTGAATCTGACAATTATGTGTCTTGGAGTTGCTCTTCTTGAGGAGTATCTTTGTGGCGTTCTCTGTATTTCCTGAATCTGAATGTTGGCTTGCCTTGCTAGATTGGGGAAGTTCTCCTGGATAATATCCTGCAGAGTGTTTTCCAACTTGGTTCCATTCTCCCCGTCACTTTCAGGTACACCAATCAGACGTAGATTTGGTCTTTTCACATAGTCCCATATTTCTTGGAGGCTTTGCTCATTTCTTTTTATTCTTTTTTCTCTAAACTTCCCTTCTTGCTTCATTTCATTCCTTTCATCTTCCATCGCTGATACCCTTTCTTCCAGTTGATTGCATCGGCTCCTGAGGCTTCTGCATTCTTCACATAGTTCTCGAGCCTTGGTTTTCAGCTCCATCAGCTCCTTTAAGCACTTCCCTGTCTTGGTTATTCTAGTTATACATTCTTCTAAATTTTTTTCAAAGTTTTCAACTTCTTTGCCTTTGGTTTGAATGTCCTCCCGTAGCTCGGAGTAATTTGATCATCTGAAGCCTTCTTCTCTCAGCTCGTCAAAGTCATTCTCCATCCAGCTTTGTTCCGTTGCTGGTGAGGAACTGCGTTCCTTTGGAGGAGGAAAGTCGCTCTGCTTTTCAGAGTTTCCAGTTTTTCTGCTCTGTTTTTTCCCCATCTTTGTGGTTTTATCTACTTTTGGTCTTTGATGATGGTGATGTACAGATGGGTTTTTGGTGTGGATGTCCTTTCTGTTTGTTAGTTTTCCTTCTAACAGACAGGACCCTCAGCTGCAGGTCTGCTGGAGTACCCGGCCGTGTGAGGTGTCAGTCTGCCCCTGCTGAGGGATGCCTCCCAGTTAGGCTGCTCGGGGGTCAGGGGTCAGGGACCCACTTGAGGAGGCAGTCTGCCCGTTCTCAGATCTCCAGCTGCGTGCTGGGAGAACCACTGCTCTCTTCAAAGCTGTCAGACAGGGACATTTATGTCTGCAGAGGTTACTGCTGTCTTTTTGTTTGTCTGTGCCCTGCCCCCAGAGGTGGAGCCTACAGAGGCAGGCAGGCCTCCTTGAGCTGTGGTGGGCTCCACCCAGTTCGAGCTTCCTGGCTGCTTTGTTTACCTAAGCAAGCCTGGGCAATGGCGGGTGCCCCTCCCTGAGCCTCGCTGCCGCCTTGCAGTTTGATCTCAGACTGCTGTGCTAGCAATCAGTGAGACTCCATGGGCGTAGGACCCTCTGAGCCAGGTGCGGGATATAATCTCCTGATGCTCTGTTTTTTAAGCCCGTCGGAAAAGCACAGTATTCGGGTGGGAGTGACCCGATTTTCCAGGTGCCGTCTGTCACCCCTTTCTTTGACTCGGAAAGGGAACTCCCTGACCCCTTGCGCTTCCCGAGTGAGGCAATGCCTCGCCCTGCTTCGGCTTGCATGTGGTGCGGGCACCCACTGACCTGCGCCCACTGTTTGGCACTCCCTAGTGAGATGAACCCGGTACCTCAGATGGAAATGCAGAAATCACCCATCTTCTGCGTCGCTCATGCTGGGAGCTGTAGACCAGAGCTGTTCCTATTCGGCCATCTTGGCTCCTCCCTCTTTAATACATTTTAAACCTAAGTAGTTTGTATTTATTCCTCCTTTGATTTCTCTCTCCTTCTTAGTAAAAAGATATCTAGATATTTATAGGAAGAAATTATTTTCAACTTTTTCTCACGTACCCTAAATTCTATATATGTGAATCCTTTAATCCTTCATCATATTAATCCTTTAAACACTTTCTCATTTGTGCTGGTTAGCCGGCTAGCTTTGCAAGCACAAAGTGGAGACAATGTGAACACATACAGAGCTACAACATAGTCCTTTTTGCGTCTCATATTTCCCTGCCTTACCTCTTCTCTAAGTCCAGAAACAGCTGGGGCTGGGACAGAAACTGTTAATTACCAATCCAATATCCATTTCCACTTCTTCCTCGCTATGAGAGCCCCAGTTTTATTCAGGCAGCAATATTAACCAGACAACTCATCATGATTGTTACGACGATCTTCTCCCCTCACTTTCCCAGCCTCTTTTTACATATAGAGGTGACTCAGTGAGAAATCTACAAGAGGACTACAGGCAACAAAAAGGAAATCCACAGATGGGAGGAGGCAGATATTATGAATAAAAGTACACTTTCCTGATAAAAGATATAGCTGGCCCTTTTTCTTCACACTGACTTGAGCACAGAATGAATCCGATGTCTGAAAATGTGCATGCCCTAGGTCTCTCTGTCATCACTGAGACCTGAGTGACCCAGTGCCAGCAACCACCTACTCAGGTCTTGTTATATGAGAGAAATAAACCTCTTTTTGTTTAAGCTACTGTTCTTTGGATACTCAGTTATCTGCAGCAGTAAGCTTTCCTAACCGATTGGCCAACCTTTCCTGATAATTCCAAATAGGGGTTAAGCTGTCCTGTAACAGAATGAATGAAATGTGATCAGACACTACAGGGCCAGTTCCATTCTATGACCCACCATGACAAACTAGAAGGTAGTATAAGAATGCCAAATCTGGCATATATATCGGAGAGCATTCATATTTTTTATTCTACTTGGCCCTATCACCAGACCTCAAAATCCATTCCATGTGTGAGCCAGATGATCACTCATTTTAAGCCTTGTGGAGAATGGAATAAAAAACCAAATACAATATAAAGTTCAACCCCTATTCTCAAATGACCTTCATAAGAGCTCCTTGTGAACTATGCAACGTAATTCCAACAAAGGAGCTAAAATATTACCTCTTCATTTTCCAACCTGCCTCTGATGTAAATACCAACATGCACATTGGCAGAAAAAGATATGAAGGAGAAATAAGTAAATATGGGGGATTCAAAAAGTAAATAATTAAGGCTCTATGCAAAGACAAAAAACATAAGACTCTCCACAAATTCATTTGGAAAATGCAGACAAGTCACCTGCTAGTCTTCTGTATGTATGCTGATATCACCCAATTCATTGATAAGGTTTTTACACTGCTCTGAACTGTAATACTGGTAATAAAATAACATGCAACAGTTTCCTCCTTAAGAAGACATCCTAAACTCTGTTTTGTATGTGGTGCAAAGAAAGCAGAAATCCATTACAGTGAACTGAACTGCTGTTATAAAAATAATCTTAATCTTTGAATTCTTTACCCAAATTCCCCAGGACCTTTGTAAGAGCTATTTGAACATTAGCTATTTATGACATAACTGGCTATTTAATACCTACTTGGCTTGTTAGTCGAAGGCTAGTCATTGGCATTTTAAAGAGTACTTGGACAATTTGAGTGAACCAGTCTTTACCAGCTTTAATCTCAAATATATTTTCATGTTCAAATTTCCAGTAGTCTCAATGTTTATTCTTCTGTTCTTTTTTTTAACCATTTATTTAAGTCAAGATCCAAATAAGTTAATCACACAGCAATTGATCAATAAGGCTTTTAAATCTGTTTTAATCCAAAGGTTCCCCTTCCAACTATTTTTTAATCTTACAATTTATTTGTTACAGAAACCAAGTTGTTTGTTCTGTTATTTCCCACAGTTTGGATTCTGCTAATTGCATTTTCTAGAGCAGTTTGATGTGTTCCTCTCTTCTCTAGCTAGGTTGTAAATTGGTGGCTGGATCTGAAGCCTTGATCACATTCAAATTTGATTGTTCTTCCATCAGAAAGTACCCCAGTGACTCGTCATCTTTTTGTGATGTTAAATGCCTAGATCCATTAGATTGTCAGAGTTTGTAATTTGGTGATATTCTATCATTCCTTATTCATTTACTACTGGGATACATTTATAAAAAGACCAATTTAGGCCAGGCGCAGTGGCTCACACCTGTAATCCCGGCACTTTGGGAGGCCAAGGCAGGCGGATCACAAGGTCAGGAGTTCAAGAGCAGTCTGGCCAATAAGGTGAAACACTGTCTCTACTAAAAATACAAAAATTAGCTAGGCCTGGTGGTAGGGCGCCTGTAATCCCAGCTACTCAGGAGGCTGAGACAGGAGAATCGCTTGAACCCGGGAGGCGGAGGTTGCAGTGAGCTGAGATCCTGCCACTGAACTCCAACCTGGGCGACAGAGAGAGACTCCATCTCAAAAAAAAAAAAAAAAAAAAAGCCAGGCACAGTGGCTCACGCCTATAATCCCAGCACTTTGGGAGGCCAAGGTGGGCAGATCACTTGAGGCCAGAAGTTCAATACCAGCTTGGCCAACATGGTGAAACCCTGTCTCTACTAAAAATAGAATAATTAGCCAGGTGTGGTGGTGCATACCTGTAGTCTCAGCTACTCGGGAGGCTGAGGCAGGAGAATCGCTTGAACCCAAGAGGTGGAGATTGCCATGAGCCCAGATCGTGCCACTGCACTCCAGCCCGGCAACAGAGCAAGACTCCATCTCAAAAAAAAAAAAAAGGCAAGGGGGAGGGGTGGTAAATGTTAACCTATGTGTAAATGTTTCATGCTGTATATAAGTTACAAAAGTAAAACATTATAATAGAAAATAAAATCTCATACCTTTCAGCACTAAATGCAGACTCTGTGTCAATGTACACCACAGCTCCTTCTAATCCTCCCATGTTGGTGGGTAATGTAGCCAAAATGCTCATCATTATACAAAACTGAGTTTTTCCACAACCTGGTGGACCTGTAATCTAAAAAAAAAAAAAAAAAAAAAAAAAAAAAAAAAAAAAAAGTTTTTTAGATAAACATCACAAGCCAGTCAAAGCAAAATCCTTTTAAGACTTTGCCATATATGCAGTCCAACTAACCTGGGTTCCCAGGAGAGAATTAAGCCCAAGACATCCATTGTATGGAATGAATTAACTTCTCCCCTCTGCATCTGAATTGGCACTAGTTATGTACCATCCTTGGAGGAATTGAGAAAATAGTCACTCAAATCATCCACTGTATTTTGTAGTTCAGATGAGAAACTTCTAGTTGAGAAAGGCTGAAACATTCACTCATTTATACCATCATAACTTGGCATTCTATACCTTTTCCTCATGAAGATATTTATAATAGGACCTTAAAATATTTAAGAGTCTTTAATAAATGGTTGAGCATTTGTTAAAAATTAGCATTTCAAAACAATGTTGCACTAGTCCCATTAAGGGCTACTTTAATCCATATTTTTAAGAGTATTTAGGGGTGAAGGGTACTGATGTACACAATTTATTTTCAAACAGTTCAGCAAATAAAAATGTGTATGTGTGTGCATATATGTGTGTAGAAAGAGAAATAAAGCAAATTTATTGCTTTATAAACAACTGTTGAGTTTAGGTGATTCCTACTTTGAAATGTCTGTTTTGAAATCTTCATTGGCAGAAAACTATTTTGAGATTATAAAAGTTGAAATCAAAAGAGTATAGACAGGAAATAATAGGAAATTAATTATATCCATATTCAAGTGTAACTAGAAGTAGTTTGGCTCTGTGTCCCCATCCAAATCTCAGGTTGAATTGTAATCCCCAGTACTGGAGGAGGGGGCCTGGTGGGAGGTGATTAGATCATGGTGGCAGTTTCCCTCTTGCTGTTCTCATGATAGTGAGTTCTCACAAGATCTGATGGTTTAAATGTGTGTGGCACTTTCTCTTTCTCTCTCTCTCTCTCTCCTGTTCTGCCATAGTAAGATGTCTCTCTCTCTCCTGTTCCGCCATAGTAAGATGTCTCTGTCTGTCTCTCTCTCTCTCCTGTTCTGCCATAATAAGATGTGCTTGCTTCCCCTGTAAGTTTCCTGAGGCCTCCCAACCATGCCTCCTGTTAAGCCTGCAGAACTGTGAGTCGATTACACCTCTCTTCTTCATAAATTACCCAGTCTCAGGTAGTTCTTTATAGCAATGTGAGAATGAACTAATACAGTAGTTAACAAAATTAATTTGAAAATGTTTAGAAATATCTCCTTTAAACACATGCTATTTGTCACATTAGTTGTGGCGCCCAAATTTTTAGAACCAATGCACTATTTCTTTGTGAAAATAACACTAAAGAACTTTTTTTTTAACATTGAGAGGAAGGGGAGAGGAGAGGAAGGGAAAAGAAAAAAAAATCTAAGAGAGGGAAAAAAGTCTGGGCTAAAACTAAGACATACAATAAAGAAACTGTCTCAGATACATTATGAAGTAGGAAGAAATAAGTAGGAGTGATTCATGAGTCTAAATCATCTAGATATGTGGTTCTCAGATTTGAGTGAGCATCAGAATCACCTGGAAAGCTTGTTAACCAGCATTTCTGGTTCAGTAGGTCTGGGTCATGGCCTGAGAATTTACATCGCTAGTAAGTTCCCAGGTAATGCTGATGTTATTATATACTTTGAGAACCACTGTTTCAGAATTTGGTCTAAAGGTAAACTTCATTTATCAAAGTTCAACCTTAAAACACAAATGTTTAGCACACGCCTGTAATCCCAGAGGCTGAGGCAAGAGAATCACTTGAGCCCAGGAGTTCTAGACCAGCCAGAGCAACAAAGCAAGACCATGTCTCAAAAAAAAAAAAAAAAAAAAAAAATTCCCATATTTAAAACTATATGCTGGTTTATAATCTTTACAATGATCATTTAGACTTTAAGAATAAATAATTACTCCTGTCAATAATAGCTTGCCAGATTATGAGAGATCAGTAAAGAGAGTTCTCCAAACTTATTTGACCACATACCCCAACAAACCAGCCAAAAAAAGCAATCAAAACAAAATTTAGTACAGCCCTCCAATATATGCATATTTATTATGAACATACTATTTTACTAATATGTCCTATAGAGTATAAAACACACACAAAGTATGAATTAAAAATTATAAACATTAAAAATCATTTTATAATATTTATTACTTATATAAAAGATCTGTTTGCTCTCATAAAAGCTTACCATTTTAAGTAGAGCAATGATAATAATGAAAATAATAAGCCAAATTGTATCTTTAAAAAATAATAATGTAAATATTTTGTGATTCGGTGATTGAAATGTCAGGTCCTAAGTTCCACTTATTTCAGTACTTAATTGTAAGCTGAGAAGGGGATAATTACAAAGATGCAAGGATTGAAATTAAAGAAATACATCATTTGTTGGACTTAACTAAATTACTACTTGCATTTTTCAATACCTTCCATCAATTATGCAAAAGTTTTTATTGATCTTCCTTCACGTCAATTGATTGTTCTTGCAGACGAATCAAAACATGTCACATTTTAACATTTTTAACAACTGGTTTAAAAACCCACTGAAACTTTTTTTTTTTTTTGCTTACATTTATTTAGTTTTACTGAAGTATGACCATCAGCCAGAAAAGTACACAAATCACATCTGAGCAGTTTGATGAATTTCTACCACGATACTCATTTGCCACCAGATATGTATCATGGGTTTTGCTTGTTTTAATATTTTTAATTGATAAATAATAATATATATTTATGGAGTTCAATATGATGATATTTTGAAATATGTTTATAGTACACTGTAGAATGGTTAAATCAAGCTAATTAACATATCTATCACTTCATATACTTATCTTTTTTTTGGTGGGAACATTTAAAATCTACTCTTCTAGCAATTTGAAATATACAACATTATTACTAACTATAGTTACCATGCTGTAAAATAAATCACCAAAATTTATTCCTACTGTCTAACAAACTTGAGACCCTTTTACCAACATCTCTCCTTCCCCTATTCCCCCTTCCCCCCCACTGACTGAAACTCTATTTGTAACATTTTTGAAGAGTATACAAAATATTTTTCCAAGTATTTTTTAAGAGTGCAGATAAATTTTCATAAGACACACATATCTTTGACAACAAAAATCACATGATAAAAGAAATATTCCAAACAGTGATTTTAAAAACATTCTGTGTTTTTATCCCAGCCTTTAGAAAAGGCAGTTACATTTTCACTCCTTGTTAAAACATTACCTTTACCTTGAAGAAATGAAGTAACAGTGTTGCATTGATTGGTTGGTTGCTTGGTGTTTAATCTGCAATGCAGATTACATAGTCACTTGTCATACAAAAAAGGGTCAGCAAATTTGACATCTCTTGTCTTTTCATTTAAAAAAACATGCTTCACCCATCTTTTTTTTTTTTTTTTTAAAGACAGGTTCTCACTCTGTTGCCCAGGCTGGAGTGCAGTGGCATGAACATAACTTACTGCAAGTGGCCTCAAATTCACACATGCCCAGCTTTTTTTTTCATAGAGACTGGGTTTCACCATGTTGCCCAGGCTGGTCTTGAACTCCAGGACTCAAGCCATCCACCCACCTCAGCCTCTCAAAGTGCTGAGATTACAGGCATGAGCCACCATGCCCAGCTAACCCATCTTTTAAGTTCAATGATTCTTTTACAGTCTTTGCTGTAAGATAATCAGAGATGCTCTTGTGATTCAAATGATTCTCATGGTCACTTCTCATCTCATTATAGAGTACACTAGGGATTCTATACAACAGTTAGGATTTTTTGTTTTTTTGTTTTGGTTTGTGACAGGGTCTCGCTCTGTCACCCAGGCTGGAGTGCAGTGCCATGATCACGGCTCACTGCAGCCTCTGCCTTCAGGGCTCAAGCAATCCTCCCACCTCCACCACTCAAGCGGCTGGAACTACAGGCACACATCACCATACCCAGGTAATTTTTTATTTTTTGTAGTGGCAAGGTCTCACTATGTTGCCCAGGATGGTCTTGAACTCCTGAGCTAAAGTAATCCTCTCACCTTGGCCTCCCAAAGTACTAGGATTACAGGCATGAGCCAACATGCCCAGCCTAACAGTCAGATTTTAAGAAAAATTAACAACATTAATACCATACTGAAATACTCTCTTTGCATATCTGACATCAACCTATGTGTTGCTATAGATTACCTAAGGATGATGCAACAGAAAAGTTGAAAGACTTTTACAGGGACCATCCATATACCCACCACTTAGACTCTGCATTTAAAATTTTTACTGTATTTGTTATACTATACTATGACTATACTGTATGCTTTCTGTATGATTAATCCATTCACCAATCCATCTTAGGGTTTTTTTAATGCATTTCAAAGTAAGTCAAACACATTAATATAGTTTCCCCCAACAGTCCAGCATGCATAGCATTAACTAGAATTTAACATGTATTATTCCTTTTTTTCCTTTTGCAGTAAATTCTACATGCAATGAAATGTGCAAATTATAAGTCTACCATTTCATAAACTTGAACAAGTGCATACATGTATGCAACCTAAACTCTTACAAAGTCAAAACACTATCGTTATCCCAGGAAATTCTCTCATATACATTGTTTTGTATTCATAAAGTCACTTATTTTCAAGAATATATCTTCCCTGATACATCTTTATTTTAATGGCACAAAATGAAATTAGTTCTTCATGTATTTCATTATTGAAACAAAATATAGCTACTATGATAATCTGAGCCTTGTTAGAAACATCTGTACTTCAAATATATAGCATCCTCTCACATTAAATAATTTAAGTTCTCAAT
The DNA here is from genome assembly GCF_000001405.40 of Homo sapiens. Taxonomy (NCBI): domain Eukaryota; kingdom Metazoa; phylum Chordata; class Mammalia; order Primates; family Hominidae; genus Homo; species Homo sapiens. Next base: position 67,860,190 of record NC_000014.9, on the reverse strand, counting down.
GATTCAAATCATCTTCAAAGATTTCTATGCAACTTCTCAAAGTATTTGTTCATGAAAGAGTTCATTTAAGGCCGGGTGCGGTGACTCATGCTTGTAATCCCAGCACTTTGGGAGGCCGAGGTGGGCAGATCACCTGAGGTCGGAAGTTCGAGACCAGTCTGACCAACATGGAGAAACCTCGTCTCTACTAAAAATACAAAAAATTAGCCAGGCGTGGTGGTGCATGCCTGTAATCCCAGCTCCTCGGGAGGCTGAGACAGGAGAATCGCACGAACCTGGGAGGTGGAGGTTGCAGTGAGCCGAGATCGCGTCATTGCACTCCAGCCTGGGCAACAAGAGCAAAACTTCGCTCAAAAAAAAAAATTCATTTAACTTGTTGCCATATTGTTTCCTATGTTTTATTTCATCCATTTTATGAACAAGTGTGTCCCTAATGTTACTAATAATGTACTGTATTTGGTCTTTTGCTGTTAAGAAAACACAAAAGATGCTTTTAAATATCTATTATTTATTTTAATGACATTTTTCTAGATACTGAGTTATGTGTCACATAACTTTAAATGTCATGGAAAAACTTTTGTCAGTTTAACTTCCTGTCCCACATGTTCATTAATTATGATGGCTTCCTACTATTGTTAGCCAGTATTTCAAGGGAATAAAATATCAGAAAGTGTTTCTTTGTTAACAATAGTGGATACAATTCCATCTATCAAATTGTCTTGCTTATAATTTCACTTTTTCTGGACATCTTCTCAGCTGAGATTAGATTGTTGTTGATTTTTACTTCAACATTAATGTCTCATAGGAGAAGCATCCGCTCTGACCTATACATGTGTGTGGCTCACTTCCACTCTCATTATTAGTATTGCACACAATTTAGTTTCTTTGCAGGAATCTTTCTTGCCATTTATCTGTTTTGTGAACTTTGATTTTGTTAAATCCATAAATCCACCTAACTAGATATATGCAGACTTATAATTCATCCCAGTATGTTGAAAATAACAAGCAAGGGGCCTCTGTCAACCCCTGCATGCTTTCCTCATGCACTATAACTGATACCCAACAGTCTGACACCCAGACCAAGTGAGGATGTCAGTGTTGATCCATTGATTAAATGTTAATTAAGGTAAATTTCATTTGTTAGATTGAAACAATAAAAGTTTTAATATTTTCTTCCCACAACCTAATGAAACATTTTACATACCCTGCTTTGGAGAATGCTAGTCTAAATTCAGAGCTCTAAACATTTTTATGGAACTTTCTTCATTTTCAAAAACAACATGGATCAAATTAGTCACCAGATATCAGGGCAAGGGAAACTTCTGTCAGTAAAAGTTGAAAGTGGATCTTGAAATAAAGAAATGCTTATGCTTACTAATGATAGCGACAGGAGGCAGTGAAATGCCTAGGCAGATAGGGTAGGGCCAGGTATCCGGTGAAACCCCACCTCCAAGCCGGATACAGTTCAAAGCCTGAAAGCCAAGCTATATGTTAAATCCCTGGACCAGAGTGAGAACTTGTCTTCCTGTTTGGCACGCTTTCCTCTGGACTGATCCTCACCCTTCACCTATTTTACGTATACCTACCCTTTCCTAATTCGTTTTCCACACTGTCTCGCCCACCTTTGAGTGGTGTCTTTGCTTTAAAATTTTTTGCATAATTGCAAACCAATCAGCATGCACTCCCCATTCTGTACCTATAAAGAACCCAAACTCAATCAATACCGGAGACAGCCGGAATTTAAGGGAGATGGCCAGACTTTGGGTAAGACAGCTGGACTTCGGGGAAGAGATGACCCAACTTTAGGGAAGATGACCTGCCCTTCCTGTCCCCTCTCTAGCTATCCTCTCCACGGAGAGTCATTTTCATCGCTCAATAAAATTATCTGCCTTCACCATCCGTCAATTGTCCAACTGACCTCATTCTTCTTGGATGCCAGACAGGGACCCACCAAGTGCGGGTACCCAGAAGGCTGTCACGCTGGCCCTTTGCCCTCACCAGCAGAGGGCAACTGCCCCACATAACGAGGTAAGGGGCCAACTGAGCTGCTAACACACCACCGTCCGCAGAGGGCAGAACTAAGAGAGTACTGTAACACCCACTCTGGGGATTCGGGGTCACAGGCACCCTTACCTGGGTGCCTCCACGGGCCCTTCATGGAGTTTGCTCCTGGCAGCTCCCAGAGTGGCTGGCCGGATCCCACACTCGCTAGCTCATGCCTGGTCTGGCCGCGGATCCCACACAGAGCTTGCTCCTGCTGGCACTCCGAGCTGTGCTGGCCAGATCCCGCACTTGCTCACTCATACCAGCACATGAAGCTTGCTCCTGCAAGTGCCTGGAACAGCCAGCCAGATCCCGCACTCACTCACTCACGTGCTCCCTCCCGCAAGAGGTTGAGCATGGTGGGCCGAGTAAATGGGATACCCCTGTCATAAGTCCAGCAAAGGGGCTGAGAAAAATCTTCCATCATTAATATCATTAGAGTGCTAACTAGCAGAGGAAAAAGGACTAGCCTTTCTATACATACTATCCATGTGCCAAGTTTTGGATATGTTCTCAGATTTAATGAGCTGAAAACTGTTCAATGCTTTGTGATTTTTAAAAGGGTGAAACAAGCCATTATTTTAATTAAGATGATATATTTGGAAATATTCAGTGAAGTATCAAGTACCTTGAAAATGTAAAGTATTACTTTACTATTCTATCTTTAAAGAAAACATGTAAAAAATAGCTGAAAAGTTAAACAAGGGCAACTGGCATTTTCCCTACTTCATTATTTTTATGTACTGATTCAGTATAGTCTTGGAGAAAATAAAACATCATGTGAATAACAGTAAGAGATTTCTGGGTTTGTTTGTTGAGTTTGGATTAGAGTTTGGATAGTAGCATTTACTTTAAACCATAATAAACAATTTCTAATTTTTTTTAACAATCTCAGATCCTGCTCACAAATTTTTTTCATCTCTTCCTAGACTCAAAAAAATTATACCATATGCGATTTTATGGGCTGCCTGGAGTTACATTTCATTTTTTTTCAGGTTTATTTAGTGGGTGAAAACATTTCAACATTAATAATTTTTAGCTTCAGATAGTCTAGCTCTGAATTCTAGCACCCAAACCACAAAATTTCAAGTTGTGTTCAGTTCCCAGCTTCAGCCCCAATGGTGGTTAGAAAGAGAAAACATGCCAAACCAGAATAGGCTAAGTTATTTGCTTCTTGTAAACTCAGACTGAATACAATATTTACACAGCGAAAACACCAGTAAAAAAACAATTCACTTCATATAGTTAGAGCCAAAGTTTCAACAACCTGCTTGAGAAATGTAAAAGAACTAAAAAAAAAAAAAGTCAGTAGTGAATATCACTCAAATATCAGCAAGGAAGAAAATGTTAATAATTGGTTTGAAGAGGAAAGAGAATTGTTCCCAAGAAAAGGTCTAATTGTACTAAAGTAAAAATGAAGCCTGCTCATCTTAAACTTTTCATGGCTGAGAGGAATGTAAAATCTGGTCCAGTTAGGACCTAAAATCTTATCAAGTTAACTCTCCTCACATTCAAGATGAGGGCAACTGGACAGGGTAATCTGCCAAGCCAATACCTGGCAGAAGACAATTTAAGGATGCCTGGCTCTGATCTGAAACCAGTGAGCATGTTTTAAAAAAGCTTCATTAAAAAATATTTTTTAATGACCTCCAGCATCTAACTACTTGTCTCCGTTTGCTCAACAATTATGTAGAAATATGAGTAGGTCTTCAGACCTACAAAATTCATTTTTAAAATAACTAACATTCTAAATCCTAAAGCCAAAACCATAAAAAAGGAAAAAAAAAAAGAATCTCAGAAAGGCCAGGTTGCATTGCATTTTGCCTTGTGAAAGAAACCTTGATCTTAAATTACTTTACACCAACATGTGGAAGAGTTTATGTCTTGGATTCTCTCTACCACTCCCTCCTTTTTCATATTGACAGCTGCCGTTTTGGAAGTAAATGGGAAGGGAGAGAGGAAGAGTAGGGATGGGAAAAGAGCAGAAAAAGCAGGAGGGAATGGAAATGACAAGTACCCCAAGTTCCACCATTAACAAAAATCAAACAGTATTAAGGGATATAATCATTCATTTAACAGCAGTTATTGAACATGTGCCACATAAAAGACTCTAGTAAACCATTACAGAGCAGAATGTTTATTTCTAAATTAGAGAGTAAGTGAAGAATTGGGAACAATGGTCCAATCAACCGCATATGCTAAATGTCTGTATTAGAACAGAGGCCTAGTTATCTGCCTTTCAAAACATAGGGCAGGATAAATGAATGTCAGCAGACTGTACTCAAGGAACATCCATTTGAAATCTCTCTCTGGTTTTCCTGCTGCTGTTACAACTTGTGGGGCACATCTGAACCTCACTGCAGCCTGAAGAAGACAGGATCCACCTTTGCAGACATGGAGACCCATGAGCAAAAAAATAAATGTTTGCTGCTGTTGTCAGCAGCTAAAATCAACTAATAAATATCTATGTCTTACACTTAACTGTTTCATGTACTTCTGTTACATGGCTCGTGCTTATAGGCATTTGAGTTTACAACCCCTGCCTTATTATTTCCTGTGATCATGTAGGCCACAGCTAATCCTGCCAATTATAAAAAGAACTATAATAGGCCGGGTGCGGTGGCTCAAGCCTATAATCCCAGCACTTTGGGAGGCCAAGGTGGGCGAATCACGAGGTCAGGAGATCCAGACCATCCTGGCTACTAACACAGTGAAACCCCGTCTCTACTAAAAATACAAAAAAAAAAAAATTAGCCAAGCGTGGTGGCGGGCACCTGTAATCCCAGCTGCTGGGGAGGCTGAGGCAGGAGAATGGCATGAACCCGGGAGGCGGAGCTTACATTGAGCCGAGATCGCACCACTGCACTCCAGCCTGTGCAACAGAGCAAGACTCTGTCTCAAAAAAAAAAGAACTATAATAGTAATTGTTCCAAGAAAAAACTAAGATGCTGGCCAGGCGCGGTGGTTCATGCCTGTAATCCCAGCACTTTGGGAGGCCAAGGCAGGTGGATCATGAGGTCAGGAGATCGAGACCATCCTGGCTAACATGGTGAAACCCCATCTCTACTAAAAATACAAAAACTTTGCCAGGCATAATAACTATGCAGATATTACATCTCTCTGTGTTGAACTGAGTTCTCTGGTCCTGTACTCTAGATTATATTACAGTATGAAAATAATAGTTTTTTAAGATACAGGATCTCACCCCAGGCTGAAGTGCAGTGGCACAAGCATAGCCCACTGCAGGTTTGAACTCCTGGCTCAAGTGATCCTCCTGCCTCAGTCTCCTAAGTAGCTGGGACTATAGGCATGCACCACCACACCTAATTTTTTTTTTTTTTACTTTTTGTAGAGCTAGGGTCTTGCTATGTTACTCAGGCTGGTCTCAAACTCCTGGCCTCAAGCGATCCTTCTGCTTCAGCCTCCCAAAGTGCTGGGATTACAGGCATGAGCCACCACACCTAGCTGAAAATACCTTTTTTGATGATATCTCTGAATACTTTTTTTTTTTTTTGAGACGGAGCCTTACTCTGTTGCCCAGGCTGGAGTGCAGTAGTGCAATCTCAGCTCACTGCAACTTCTGCCTCCTGGATTCAAATGATTCTCATGCCTCAGCCTCCCAAGTAGCTGGCACAACAGGCGCATGCCACCACACCCAGCTAATTTTTGTATTTTTGGTAAAGATGGGGTTTTACCATGTTGGGCAGGCTGGTCTCAAACTCCTGGCCTCAAGTGATCTGCCCATCTCGGCCTCCCAAAGTGCTGGGATTACAGGCGTGAGCCACTGCACCTCACCTGTATCTTTAAATATAACTTTAATTTTACCTATTCACAATAGCATCTATCTTATGCATTCTCAGCATGGGTAATATTAACCCCAAGGGTAAAAGTTGTTTTGGAGGAAGGGGAAGATTTTACTCTTTTATGTATAAAGCACAGATATTTATACAGTACAAAAACAGATATACAGTATATGTGTGGTAGAAAAACTTCATTGGAGGGTGTGGTTAAGAAAAAATTGTTAAAAAGGCTTCTTAGGAGACAATAATGAAAAAATGAATGAGGAACACTGATCTATATTATCTCATATGAGAAGGCTACCGAACTGATTTGATCTCCACATAATACAAACTTTAAGGTGTTTGCTGTTCTCAGGGAATGGAACAATGCCCTGTAGTTCACTTCCTTCAGCAGGTCCGCAGAGTTGGTGTCTCTGATTTCTCCTCTGCTGCTTCTGCTTTAAGAATGAATAGCACTTCTCTACTTCCACTTTTCATGTTGGTGTTGTAACTGAATATGTAAGCATACACAGATTCAGTGACATTCACGTAAGTCAAAACTGATGATAAATAACCTAGGAAATTTTTAAGTTAAAGTCAGGAAAGAGAAACTATAAAAATGACAGCAAAATATTTCCAGATTGATTCTTACTCTCTCAATCTCCAGATCCACTCTAAGTTCATTCAATCAGTTGCCTTACCCCACCCACCCACCAGATCTATCTGACATCTATCTAGGACACTAGGCTTGACCTTTTAACCAGAAACAAAGACTGTGCAATGCAGTTAATTAGGCACCTTCACTGACACCTGTATTTTATTAGTTCTCTACTGCTTCATAACAAATTACCACAAACTTGGCAGCTTGAACAGCATCCATTTATTATGTCACTGCAAGTCAGTTTTGACTTATGTGAATGTCACTGAATCTGGGTATACTTATATATTCAGTTACAACACCAAGATGAAAAGTGGAAGTAGAGAAGTGCTATTCATTCCTAAAGCAGAAGCAGCAGAGGATAAATCAGAGACAATCAGGTCAGAAGTCCAGATAGGGTTGGCTAGGTTCTCTGCTTAAGGTCTTACAAGGTTGAAATCAAGATCTCAGCTGAGCTGGACTCTTATCTGGAGGTTGGGAGTAAGAATCAACTTCCAAGTTCATTCAAGCTGTTGGCAAAAATCTATTTCTCTGCAGCTCTAGGTCTGAGGTTCCTTTCTTGCTCTTATCTCAGGGCCACTCACTGCTTCTAGAGGCTGCCTACATTCCTTTAATCATGGCCCCTCCACCTTCAAGGCAGCAATGGCATCCTGAGTCCTTCTTGGGTTTTAAGCTTTTCTTCCTTCCCCTTTTTAACAGCCAGAGAAAGCTCACTACTTCTAAGGGCTCATATGATTAGATCCAAATAATCTCCCCATCTTAAAGTCAACTATACCATATAACATATAATAATCATGGGAGTGACATCTCATCATATTCAAAGGTTCCAGGGATTAGGGCAGAACATCTTTGAGAGGCCATTTAAGAAATTCTGCCTACTACAACATTTCTGAGAACAGAATGGTCATAAAGTTTTTTTTTTAATTATACACATACACACATGCATGCGTACATATGTTTACACACATGCATATATCAGTGGTAGGCGGCCTCTAAGACTCAATGATGCTCACCTTTGTTATCCATGCCTTTCTGTAGTCTCCTCCCACATTGTATCAGGTTTGTCTGTGACTAATAGAATACTGCAGAAATGATGGTATGTAACTTCCAAGGCTTTGTCTTAAAAAGAAATTGTCATTTCTACCCTGTACTCTTGGATCACATACTCTGCAGAAAGTCAGCTGTTGTGTCATGAAGACACTCAAGCAGTCCTATGGAAAGGTTCACATCGCAAAGAACTGCCAACAGCCAGGACCAACTTCCCAGCCATATAAGCCATGTAAGGAAGACTTCTTGGAAGCTCAACCCCACATGGAGTCGGGGATCCCCACCAACCTTGGATCCCCGAGTTCCCTGGTGCCAGCTGTTATAGTCCCACCAAGGGAGGCCAGGTTTTTTCGCGTAGCTCTAGGATAGAAGCCATATCCATGGAGTTTAGGAGCAGTCAGACTGCAGGCCCTGCCTCTGCTGTTCCTTGCCAGGCAAGGCCACTGGCCTGGGCCCCCAGCACGCCCACTCCACCACCAACTGAGCACTCTGGTCAGTCGGTCACGGCTCTGGCTCTGTATTTCACTGGGTCAGAGCTCCCGGAGGTAACTGACAGGCCCACTGCAACTGCCTCTGTCAGGTCCTTGCTCCTGCTGCTCTCAGGCTGGGGAGGGAGTGAAGAGCCTGAGAGTAAGTAGACCTCCAGCAGGATGCAGCTGCCTTGAGAGTAAGTAGACCTCCAGCAGGATGCAGCTGCCTTCAGGAAAGGTGGCCAGACTCTTTGCTCTCAGAGGCCCAGCCCCTGCTGCTCCTTACAGGGCAGGGCCTCCTGACTTGGGCCGCCAGCACAGGCACCCCTACCCCCACATAATCACTTCAGTGAGTAGCAGCTCTGTTTCTCTAGGGTGGAGCTTCCAAAGGCAACTGACAGGCCCTCTGCCACTGCAGCTGCTGCAGTACCCATCCTTGCTACTTCTAGGCTAGGGAGGGAACAAAGGTGCTTTCAAGCACCTCCATCAGCAGAGAGGAGTACCCAACCTGCTCCCCATTCCCTCTTCCCAGGTACACCCCCCATCACCATCACTCCCAAAGGCAACTGAACAGGTCCTCTGCCGTGGCCACCCCTGCTGCCCCCAGGCTGGGGAGAGAAACTCCAGTGCCAGCAGCTACCCTTCAGAGAGGTGGCCAGAATGCTTTCCACATGACCCCCTTCCTCCACTGCCCACTCCCCAACCAGGACTGCTGCCTTCTGGCTTCTACTGCACATAGCCGACCCCTACATGAGCATTTCAGTCATGGCCCAAAGCCCTGTCGAAAACCTTACCCCCATAGACCTGTGATCTTCCCTAGGGCTCCCACCGCCTAAGTGCCCTGCCTGAGAGTTTAGCCCCTCACCCAGATATCAGCCCTCACCCCTTCCCATCACAGCCAGGACCTGAGGCTCCCCAACAATCCAGCCCCATCAAGACTCATAGAGGAAGTCCAGCCAGCCATCTAGGGACTAACTAGGGACTTACAGATCTCCCTACCCTATTCCAATTTTGCTAGTACTTTACCACATCTCCCATTGCCTGAGGTTGAACCGACGCAACCAGCCAACACCACCAAAACCAACACACCCCTGCAGAGGCCCAAAGAAGGAGTCCCCCAACCCCGCTCTTAAATGAAGAAGAGTCATCACATTGGAGAGCAGAGGAGCCACACAGCTACCTATATTAAGCTAAGTGATGAAGTTCTGCCCCAAAAACCACTCCCCTGGAGAGTCAAAAATTAGACATTTCCTAAGGCTCTCAACCACATGGTGGTCTGGAGATAGGCTGCAGTGTGTGTCTGATCCAGGAGTCAAGAGCTCTAGAACAAGGGTGTGACTGGGCAACAATCTACATTCCAGTCTATCTAGAAGGGGCTTGTGTAGCACCCCAAACCCCCACAGAGACTGTGGCACAATTCACTGGGAGCTTTTCCTAGCCACCCTCATCAGGGTTGGGGACTACACTTCTACATTTGACATAGGGGTATTTGTGGACAAGCCAGGTTATCCACTCTACCCAGCTATGTCCCCAGCACTCCCGTAAAATAGGAAGTACATGGTATGCAGCCCTCCACAGTCTAGCCTATCACCTGGAACAACAGAGAGTTCTTCACAGTAAACAAATACCAAGTACATAACTGTCTGCTTCCACCACAGCTGACTCTCACCCGTAAGCATCATCTACTGGCCCGTAGGTTGAACTCCACAGCCCAATATACAACCTGCTGCCAGAACAGAAGGCCATGGAAACAAAGACAAAAGACCCTACTCGACATACTCTTAAGTCACACCCTTTAGTGAGTGGGGGAAGGAAAGGGGGAAAAAACAATAATAATACAAGAAAAGAAAGGGAAAGAAAACCCTACCTGCATGAAAATATCTACAAAAATTTGAAGTGCCAGCCAGGCACGGTGACTCATGTCTGTAATCCATCCCAGCACTCCAACCCTGGAGGCCAAAGCAGGAGGATTGCTTGAGCCCAGGAGTTCAAGACGACGGTGGGACACTGTCTATACAAATAATTAAAAAATTAGCCAGGCATGATGGCACACGCCTATAGTCCCAGCTACTTGGAAGGCTGAGGTGGGAGGATTGCTTCAGCCTGGGAGGTCGAGGCTACAGTGGGACATGATTCACTGTACTTCAGCCTGTGCAAAAGAGTGAGAACCTGTCTCAAAAAACAAAAATTTAGAAGTGCCAACACCTACAAATGAGAAGGAAGCAACATAAGAATGCTGGCACCAGAAAAATCCAATTTTTGTAACACCACCAAAGAATCACAGTAGCTCTCTAGGAAAGGTCCCCAACCAAAATGGAAACTCAGAAATGTCAGATAAATAATTCAAAGCATGGATTGGAAGAAACTCAAAGATATAAAAGAAAAGACTGAAAATCAACACAAAGAATCTAATAAAACAATCCAGGAAATGAAAAAGGAGATAAACATCTTAAAAAGGAATCAATTAGAGCTTCTGGAACTGAAAACTTCACTTTATGATTGCCAAGCTGTTGAAAATTTTATCAACAGACTAGACCAAGCAGAAAAAAATAATTACAACTGATATTTCAAACTAACACATATAGACAAAAGTCAAGAAAAAACAATTTTAGGCCAGGTGCAGTGGCTCACGCCTGTAATCCCAGTGCTTTGGGAGGCTGAGGTGGGAGGATCACCTGAGATCAGGAGTTTGAGATCAGCCTGACCAACATGGTGAAAACCCATCTCTACTAAAATAATATAAAATTAGCTGGGTGTGGTGGCGCATGCCTGTAATCCCAGCTACTTGGGAGGCTGAGGCAGGAGAATTGCTTGAACCCGGGAGGTGAAGGTTGCAGTGAGTCGAGTTTGCGCCATTGCACTCCAGCTGGGGCAACAAGAGCAAAACTCCATCTCAAAGGAAAAAGAAAAAAAAAGAAAGAAAGAATAAAGAATTTTATAAAATGAACAAAGTCTTTGAGAAGTGTGGGATTACGTAAAGCAACCAAACCTATGAATTACTGGCATTCCTGAGAGAGGAGAAAAAGTTGACAACCTGGAAAACATACTTGATGGAATAATTCAAGAAAATTTCCCTAATATTGCTAGAGATGTAGATATCCAGGTACAAGAAATCCAGACAACATAATGGCCATCCCAAAGGCACACAGACATTCAACGAGGTCAATGCAAAAGAAAAAAGTCTTGAAGGAAGCAAGAGAGAATGGTAATGCATGGACAGAAGGAACCCCATCAGGCTAGCACCAGACATCTCAGCAGAAACTGCAAGCCAGAAGAGAGTGGGGACCTATTTTCAGTGTAGAAAAGAAATACCAACAAATAATTTCATATCCCACAAACTAAGCTTCATAAGTGAAAAATAAATAAATTTATCTCGTCTTCTCAGACAAGAAAACACTGAGGGAATTTGTTTCAACTAGAACAGCCTTATAAGAGGTCCTTCAGGAAATGCTAAACATGGAATGGTAAGAACGACACCTGCTACCACAAAAACACACTTAAGTACATAGCCCACAGACACTATAAAGTAACTACGCAATCAAGTCTACATAACAACCAGCCAACAACACAATGACAGGATCAAAGTCTCATATGTCATTACTAAACTTCAATGTTAAGTGTTCTAAACACCCCACTTAAAAGACACAGAATGGTAAGCTAGAAAAAAAAAGACAAGACTCAACCATCTGCTGTCTTCAAGAGACCCATCTCACATGTAATCCCACAGGCTCAAAGTAAAAAGGGATGAAGAAAGAGCTAGCAGGCAAATGGAAAACAAGCAGAAGTCACTATTCTTATACCAGATAAAACAGACTTTAAACCATAACGACTAAGAAAGACGTAGAAGGGTATTACACAGTGATAAAGGGTACAATCCAGCCAGGCGTGGTGGCTCACGCCTGTAATCCCAGCACTTTGGGAGGCCAAAGCAGGGAGATCATGAGGTCAGGAGATTGAGACCATCCTGGCCGACATGGTGAAACCCCATCTCTACTAAAAATACAAAAATTAGTTGGGTTGTGGTGGCACGTGCCTGTAATCCCAGCTACTCGGGAGGCTGAGGCAGAAGAATCACTTGAACCAAGGAGTCGGAGTTTGGAGTGAGCAGAGATCGTGCCACTGCACTCCAGCCTGGTGACAGACTGAGACTCCATCTTAACAACAACAACAAAAAAGTGTACAATCCAACAGGAAGATTTAACTATCCTAAATATATACCCATCAAACATTGGAGCACCCAGATTCATAAAACAAGTTCTTCTTGACTGATAAAAAGACTTAGACAACCACACAAAAATGGGGGGGGGCTTCAACACCCCACTGACAGTGACAGAAAGATCATCAAGGCAGAAAAATAACAAAGAAACTCTGGACTTAAACTTGACACTTGACCAATTAAACCTAACAGATATCTATAGAACGATCCACACACCAACCACAGAATATACATTCTTCTCAACTGTACAAGAAACATACTCTAAGAGCAACCACATGTTTGGTCATAAAGTAAGTGTCAATAAATTTTTTTAAAAATCGAAATCACATCAAGCACACTATCAGACCACAGTGCCAAAAAAATTAAAATGAATATCAAGAAGATCTCTCAAAACTACGCAAATATAGAAAGGACACAACTTGCTCCTGAATAACTCCTGGGTGAACAAGAAATTAAGGCGGAAGTCAAAAAATTATTTGATATTAATGAAAATAGGAACACAACTTCCCAAAATCTCTGGGAGGCAGCTAAAGCAGTATTAAGAGGAAAGTTTATAACACTAAATTTCTTCATCAAGAGGTTAGAAAGATTTCAAATTAACAATTTAACTTTGCACCTAATGGAATTAGAAAAAAAAAAAAAAAAAAAAAAGAACAAACCAACCCCAAAACTAGCAGAAGAAAATAAATGCCTAAAATTAGAGAGAAGACCCTGGGGCAAGATGGCCAACTAGACGCAGCCAGGAGGAACACATGCCACCAAGTGACTGGGACTTTGGGAAGACTGGCACATTCTGAGATCTTTGGAGGGAAGGCAATGAGAATGGATGGAGGGAGGATATAGATGCTGGGCTGAAGAAAGAAGAAACTGGGAACCCTGCATTGGGCTATCACACACCAAGACTTACTTCTGGCCCTCAAGGACTCCTGAGGAAGGGGTGAGTTGAAGAGGTGAAAAACAAACCCCTCTCACCACAGACCTCTGAAATCCTAGCAGCAGGAGACCCCACGACCCCAGGGTGTGGACACCTGAGCTGGCTGGGAGAGGTGCTTAGAGAGGTGGTAGGGGTAGGAATGCAGTGTGGAACCCAGAGGGTTTGGTGCAGTAATGTCTGCAGTGGAGCACAACCAGGGTTGTCCATCTCCCAAGGCTCACCATGCTCTCCTAGGAGACTTTAGCCTTAGGAGAACTGTCAAATCTGAACAGATCATGGTGGTCTTGCATGTGAAATGGAGCCAGTCCAATCAAAGCACCCCTTGTCTGCTGGCCTCTCCCAGGGTCCCAACCTGGTGGAGCACACTTGCAGTGTACCCTCGGATGCCCAACTGAGGTGCCTCCAGGGGGCCTACATCATAGCTCCTTCACTGGCAGATAATGCTGACCATCAAGAGCTCCAGTAGAGCAGCCTCCACTGAGGCACACCAGACCACCACTGACTGCAGCCTCCTCTGTGCTGCTTTGCCAGCAGGAACATGCACTCGGCCACGCCCCCACCTGCCCTACCGTTTTGCTGGCACACGTGTGGGTAGACCTCACCTCCCCTCCATCGCTGGCACCCATGTGCATATGCATCCCACTATGCCACAGCTGTGGTGTAGAGTGTAACCCCACCACTGCGTGGCCATTGCCACTGCAAACGCGCATACGGAGGACAGCAACCCACACGCCACCCCCCACACTGCCACCAGCACGAACACACACATGGAGACTGGCAGCCCTGTACCTGCCAGCACCGCACTACCCCATGCGCCAACACCACCACCAGTATGAATATGCACACAGAGGCTGGCAGCGCCGCACCCACCAGCACCCCATCCAAGCCATGGAGTGTGCATCCCACCATAACGCAGCTGCTGTTGGTACATGTGAACAAGCACAGATCCCACTGCCACCACCCCAACAACGCAATTTGGCTGGCACCACACATCAGTGTTGTGGCCAGAGATCCAAGAACACCTGGGCTCCTCCAGCACAGAAGGTTCCTAACCTGAAGGGCCCAGAGAACAAAGCTGGGGGCCTGAATTCAAATTCAAGAAATGCAGAGAACTTCTGTGAGATACTATCCAAAATGATCATCCCCAGGACACAGTCATCAGATTCATCAAAGTCAAAATGAAGGAAAAAAATGTTAAAGGCAGCTAGAGGGAAGGGGCAAGTCACCTACAAAAGAAACTCCATCAGGCGAACAGTGAACCTTTCAGCAGAAACTCTGCAAGCTGGAAGAGATTGGAGGACTATATTCAACATTCTTAAGGTAAAGAAATTCCAATCATGAATTTCGTGTGTGTGTTTTTTTGTGTGTGTGTATATGTGACAGGGTTTCACTCTGTCACCCAGGCTGGAGTGCAGTGGCATGATCATGGCTCACTGCAGCAATGACCTCCTGGGCCCAAGCAGTCCTCCCACCTCAGCCTCCTGAGTAGCTGGGACTACAGGCACATGCCACCACACCCGGCTAATTTTAGCATTTTTTGTAGAGACAGGGTTTCATCATATTGCCCCGGCTGGTCTCAAACTCCTGGGCTCAAGCAATCCACCTGCCTCAGCCTCCCAAAGTGCTAGGATTACAGGCGTGAGCCACCACACCCAGCCCCAACCAAGAATTTCATATGCAGCCAAACTAAGCAAAGGAGAAATAAGATCCTTTTCAGACAAACAAATGCTAAGGGAATTTGTTACCATTAGACCTGCCTTACGAGAGGTCCTGAAGGGAGTGTTAAATATAAAAAGGAAAGACCATCACCAGCCACTACAAAAACACACTTAAGTACATAGACCATTGCCACTATAAAGCAACAACACAAACAAGTCTGCATAATAACCGGCTAACAACATGATGACAATATCAAATCCACATGTCAATATTAACGTTGAATGTAAACAAGCTAAATGCCCCAATTATAAGGCACAGAGTGGCAAGTTGGACAAAGAGTCAAGACCCAATGGTGTGCCATCTTCAAGAGACCCACCTCACATGCAATGACACCCATAAGCTCAAAATAAAGGGATAGAGAAAAATCTACCAAGCAAACAGAAAATAGAAAAAAGTAGGGGTTGCTATTATAACAGACAAAGCCGACTTTAAACCACTAAAGATAAAAAAAGACAAAAATGGTTTCCAGCTTCATCCACGTCCCTACAAAGGACATGAACTCATCATTTTTGAAGGGGAACATCACACACTGGGGCCTGTTGTGGGGTGGGGGGAGCGGGGAAGGATAGCATTAGTAGATATACCTAATGTAAATGACGAGTTAATGGGTGCAGCACACCAACATGGCACATGTATACATATGTAACAAACCTGCACGCTGTGCACATGTACCCTAGAACTTAAACTATAATAAAAAAAATATATATATATAATATATATATAAAAGACAAGGGCACTACATAATGGTAAAGCATTCAATTCAACAAAAAGACCTAATTATCCTATATATGCAGCAAACATAGGAGCACCCAGGTTCATAAAGCAAGTTCTTAAAGACTTATGAAGAGACTGCATAATAATAGTGTGAGACTTCAACACCCCACTGACATTATAAGACAGATCATTAAGACAGAAAACTAATAAATTCAAGACCTGAACTCAACACTTGACCAAATGAACCTAATAGACATCTACAGAACTCCCCACCCAAAAACAGCAGAATATACATTATTTTCATCTGTACAGGGTACATGTTCTAACAC
Source organism: Homo sapiens (assembly GCF_000001405.40). Classification (NCBI taxonomy): domain Eukaryota; kingdom Metazoa; phylum Chordata; class Mammalia; order Primates; family Hominidae; genus Homo; species Homo sapiens. Next base: position 67,844,281 of record NC_000014.9, on the reverse strand, counting down.
TGACCACACAATCAACCATAAAACAATAGTCAACAAATTAAAAAAAAAAACTGCAATCATACCAATCACACTCTTGGACCATAACACAATAAAAATAGAAATCAATACTAAGAAAATCACTTAAAACCATACAATTACATGGAAATAAACAACCTGCTCCTGAGTGACTTTTGGGTAAACAATGAAATTAAGGCAGAAATCAAGAAATTCTTTGAAACTAATGAGAATAAAGATACAACATACCAGAATCTCTGGGACACAGCTACAACAGTGTTAAGAGGAAAGTTTATACTGTTAAAAGCCCATATCAGAAAGTTCAGAAGTTCTCAAGTAAATAACCTAACATCTAACCTAGAGGAAACAGAGAAGCAAGAGCAAACCAACCCCAAAGCTAGCAGAAGATAAGAAATAACCAAAATCAGAGCTGAACTGAACAAAATTGAGATGCAAAAAAAAAAATAATTAAAAAGATCAAAGAATCAAGGAGTTTGTTCCTTGAAAGAATATATAAGATAAACTGCTAGCTAGACTAATAAGAAAAAAAAAGATCCAAATAAACAATCAGAAATGACAAAGGTGATATTCCATCGACCCCACAGAAATACAAAAAACCCTCAGAGAACTACTACAAACGCCTCTATGTACACTAACTAGAAAACCTAGAAGAAATGCATAAATTCCTGGAAACATGCAACCTCCCAAAATTGAACCAGAAAGAAATTAAACTAATGAACAGACCAATAATGAGGTCCGAAATTGAATTAAGTAACAAAAAGCCTACCAAGCAGAAAAATCCCAGGACCAGACATGTTCACGGCCTAATTCTACCAGATGTACAAAGAAGCACTTATACCATTCCTACTGACAATGTTCCAAAAAACTGAGGAAGAGGGACTCCTCAATAACTCATTCTATAAGACCAGTATCAGCCTGACACCAAAATCTGGCAGAGACACAATGTAAAAGACAGCATTGTGGGGGAGGGGGGGAGGGACAGCATTAGGAGATATACCTAATGCAAAATGACCAGTTGGTGCAGCACACCAACATGGCACATGTATACATATGTAACAAACCTGCATGTTGTGCACATGTACCCTAAAACTTAAAGTATAATAATAATAAAATTTTAAAAAAAGAAAAAAAAAAAGAAAGCATCAGGTCAATATCCCTGATGAACATGGATGCAAAAATCTGCAAGAAAATATGAGCAAACTGAATCCAGCAACACATCAAAAAGTTAATACATCATGATTAAGTAAGCTTTATTCCTGAGACGCAGGGCTAGTTCAACATATGTAAATCAATAAATGTTATTCACAACATAAACAGATTTAAAGTAAAAACCATATGATCATCTCCATAGACACAGAAAAAGCTGTCAACATAATCCAACACCCCTTCATGATAAAAACCCTCAACAGACTAGGCATCGAAATGAACATACCTCAAAATACTAAGACCCATTTATGACAAACCCACAGCCAACATCATTCTAAACAGGCAAAATTTGGGAGAACTAGAACAAGATAAGGATGCCCAGTCTCACCACTCCTATTCAACATAGTACAGGAAGTCCTAGCCAGAGCAATCAGGCAAGAGAAAGAAATAAGGCTGGGCACGGTGGCACATGCCTGTAATCCCAGAATTTTGGGAGGCCTAGACAGGCAGATCACTTGAGGTCAGGAGTTCAAGACCAGCTTGGCCAATATGGTGAAACCCCATCTCTACTAAAAATATAAAAATTAGCTGGGAGTGGTAGTGCACGCCTATAGTCCCAGCTACTTGAAAGGCTGAGGCAAGAGAAGGTGAGGAGGTGAGGTTGCAGTGAACCAAGATTGTGCCACTGCACTCCAGCCTAGGCGACAGAGTGAGACTCCATCTCAAAAAGGGAAAGAAATAAAAGGCATCAAAATAGAAAAGAAAAAGCAAAATCATCTCTCTTCACTGACAATATGATTCTATACCTAGAAAACCCTAAAGACTGCTGCTCCAAAAGGCTCCCAGAACTGATAAATGACTTTAGTAAAGTTGAAGGCTACAAAATCAATGCACAAAAATCAGTAGCTTTTCTATACACCAATAACATTCCAGCTGAGAGCCAAGTCAAGAATACAATCCCATTTACAATAGCTACACAAAAAAAATAAAATATCTAGGAATACATCTAACCAAGGAGGTGAACGATCTTTGGAAGGAGAACTACAAAACACTGCTACAAGAAATCATAGATGATACAAACAAATGAAAAAACATTCCATACTCATGGATTTGAAGAATCAATACCGTTAAAATGGCATATTTCCCAAAGCAATGTACAGATTCAAATTACCAATGTCATTTTTCACAGAATTAGAAAAAACTATTCTAACATTCATATGGGAAGTTAAGAGTCTGAAAAGCCAAGGGAATCCTAAGCAAAGAGAACAAAGCTAGAGGCATCACACTACCTGACTTCAAACTATAGCAACCAAAACGGCATGGTACTGGTACAAAAACAGACATAGTGATCAATGGAACAGAATAGAGAACCCAGAAATGAAACCACACACTTACAACCTCTGATCTTTGACAAAGTCAACGAAAATAAAAAAATGGGGAAAGGACTTCCTATTCAATAAATGCTGCTGAGATTACCAGCTAGCCATATGCAGAATAATTAAACTGGACCCCTACCTTTTACCATTTACAAAAATTAACTCAAGATGGATCAACAATTTAAATCTAAGACCCAACCCATAAAAATCCTAGAAGAAAACCAAGGAAAATCCATTCTGGACATCAGCCTTGGCAAAGAACTAATGGCTAAGACCTCAAAAATATTGTAACAAAAACAAAAATTGACAAGTGGTACCTAACTAAAGAGCTTCTGCACAGCAAAAGAAACTATCAACAGAATAAATGGACGCCCTACAGAATAGGAGAAAATATTCACAAACTAGGCATGTGACAAAGGTCTAATATCCAGATTCTATAAGGAACTTAAACAAATCAACAAGCAAAAAATGACCCCATTAAAAGTGGGTAAAGGACATGAACAGACACTTCTCAAAAGAAGACATACATGTGGCCATCAAATATAAAATGCTCAACATCCCTAATCATTAGAGAAATGCAAATCAAAACCACAATGAGATACCATCTCACACCAGCCAGAATGGCTATTATTAAGAAGTCAAAATGGCCAGGCACAGTGGCTCATGCCTATAATCTCAGCAATTTGGGAGGCTGAGGTGGGCGGATCACTTGAGGCCAGGAGTTTGAGACCAGCCTGGCCAACATGGTGAAACCCCATCTCTACTAAAAAATAAAATTAGCTGGGCATGGTAGCACACACCTGTAATCCCAGCTACTCAGGAGGCTGAGGCACGAGAATCACTTGAACCTGGGAGGCAGAGGTTGCAGTGAGCCAAAAGTGCCACTGCCCTCCGGGCTGGGCAACAGAATGAGACTCTGTCCCAAAAAAAAAAAAAAAGTCAAAAAATAATAGATGCTGGAAAGGGTGCAGAGAAAATGGAATGCTTATACACTGTAGGTGGAAATATAAATTAGTTCAATCACTGTGCAAAGGAGTTTGGAGATCTCCCAAAGAACTTAAAACAGAGCTACCATTTGAGCCAGCAATCTCATTGCTGGATATATACCCAAAGGAAAATAAATCACTCTACCAAAAAGACATATGCACTCGTATGTTCACTGCCACAGTATCCACAATAGCAAAGACATGGAATCAACCTAAGTGCCCATCCATGGTAGAGTAGATAAAGAAAATGTGGTAAATATATACCATGGACTACTACACAGCCATAAAAAGAACAAAATCATGTCCTTTGCAGCAACATGGATGCAGCTCTTGGTCATTATCCTAAGTGAATTAACACAGGAACAGAAAACCAAAGACTGCATGTTCTCACTTATAAGTGGGAGCTAAACATTGGGTATACATGGACACAAAGATGGGAACAATCAACACTGGAGATTATTAGAAGGAGGAAGAAGGGAGCAGGGAAAAAGGCTAAAAAAACTACTTATTGGGGACTATGTTCAGTAGCTGAGAGATGGTATAAATCGTACCCCAAACCTCAGCATCACGCAATATACCAATGTAACAAACCTGTACATATACCCCCTGAACCTAAAATAAAATAGGGCACCCAATTATTAGAGAATAATCATTCTTTTCAAGCACACGTGCAACATTTATCAAAGTTCATCACATATTTAACCTTAAAAGATGTCTCAGGGAACTTCAAAAAATCAATATCATGCAAAGTTATCTGACAAAAATGCAATTAGATTAATAATGTAATTAAAATAAATTTTTTTAATTAAGTAATTTAGATATTTTAAAATTCCAAATGATACATGAGTCAAAGAAGCAATTGTGATGGGAATGTTTAAATACTTCTAGAACAGAATGAAAATGGAAATACTATATCTCAAAATAGAATGCTTCAAGAAAAATTCAGTCTTAAAAGGTCAGAGTAAAAAGAAAAACTGAAAATTAATAGATTAAATATCTAATTTAAGAAGTTAGAAGCAAAGAATAACCCCACAAAAAAATTAAATAAAAGGAGATAATAAGAAAATGGCAGAAATAAAGGAGGTAGAAGATGAAGAAATAATAGAGAAGACCAACAAAGAACAACAAAATGCAGAGTTCTTTAAAATGATGACATACATACTCAAACTTCTGACAAGATTTTTTTTAAAAGAGAGGGAGAAATAAAACAAAGTAAGTAATATCAGAAATGGAAAGGGGGACAAAAACCACATGTAAAACCAGATTTAAGAGCTGGAAGATTGTAATGAATAACTTTATTATAATAAATTTGAAAACATAAAGAAAATGGACAAATTCCTAAAAATCTCATTCACTGTAACTAATCAAGAAGAAATAGAAAATCTGAGTAGTCCTATAATCATTAAAGGAATTGAATTTTTAAAAAATCTTCTCAGAAGGAAAAATATCAAGATCAGACAATTTTTCAGACAAGTTCTACCAAATCTTCAAGGAACAAATAATTCCCATCATAGGCAAACTATTGCAGAATATTAAAAAAAGAGATATTCCATAATCCATTCTACCAAACTAGTATAAGATAAATACTAATTCAGACAAAGACACTACTAAAAGGAAAATTACAGCTGAATATCCATCCTAAATATTGAAAAATCTTAAATATTAGCAAACTGAATCCAACAGTTTATAAAAAAAGATAATATATCATGACCAAGTTGAACTTGTCCCAAAAATGCAATAGTAGTTTAACATCAGAAAAATCTATTAAATGTTTCTCACCATGCTATTAGACCAAAGATGAAAAATAATACAATCATTTCAATCAATGCAGAAAAAAAAGTTTTTGATAAAATGTAACACCAAATTAGTATTTTAGCTAGGAAATGGAGGAAAGTTCTTTATTTCTGATCAAGGATATCTACTTACAGCAAACATCACAGGTTTTTTTTTTTTTACTTTTTTATCTAGAAATAATTTTAAACTTACAGGAAAATGGTATTAATAAAAACAGAAGGCCAGGCGCAGTAGCTCACACCTGTAATCCCAACACGTTGGGAGGCCAGGGCAGAAAGGATCACTTGAGGTCAGGAGTTCAAGACCAGTCTGGGCAACATAGCAAGCCCTCATCTCTACAAAACATTTTAAAAAATTAGCCAGGCATGGTGGTGCACACCTGTAGTCCTAGCTACTTGGGAGGCTGAGGAAGGAGGATCATTTCAGCCCAGGAGTTTGAAGCTGCAGTGAGCTATGGTTGTGCCACTGCACTCCAGCCTAGGTGACACAGCTAGACCATGTATCTTTTTTTTTAATTTAAAATAAAAATAAATTAAAAATAAATAAAAACAATACAGAATATATATATGCATTCTTTTCCCACATCCACCCACCGTTAACATTTTGCCCAATTTACTTTATCGTTTTGCTAGCTCTCTCTTACCTCCACATGTGTGTATGTGCATGCGCATGTATGATACACAGTATGAAATCAGTATGTCAATCTACGCTCCCATTTTTATTGCAGCACTATTCACAGTACCCAAGAGATGGAATCAACCTAAGTGTCCATCAGCAGACAAATGGATAAATATGTGGTACATACATGCAATGGAGTACTATTTCAGCCATAAAAAAGAATGAGATTCTGTCATCTCTAACAACATGGATGGAACTCAAGGTCATTATGTTGAGTAAAATGTCAGACACAGAAAGACAAACCTTGCATGTTCTCACTCACATGTAGAAGCTAAAAAAATTGATCTCATAGAAGTGGAGAGTAGAATAGTGGTTATTAGAGGCTGAGATGGTTAGAGGGAGACAGCCAAAGGTTGGTTAGCAGTTACAAAATTATAGCAAGACAGGAGGAATAAGTCTTAGTTTTCTATAGCACCTTAGGTAAACTATAATTTACAACAATTTATTATATATTTTCAAATAGCTAGAAGAGGGGCTTTTGGATGTTCCGAACACACACAAAAAATGATAAATGCTTGAAGTGATGGATATGCCAATTACCTGATTTGATCATTATACATTGCACACACATATCAGAATATCACACTGTACCCCATAAATATATACAATTATTGTATCAATTAAAAATTGTAATAAAAGCAAAAAAAACTCTGTTTGAGGATAATTTGATATACTCCCTGTACTCAGTTGAAAAACAAAAAACAAAAAAGATTGAAGAAGCTACCTGTAGCTAGAACAGAAAGGAGAGAATTTGCCCCTACTAAGGAGTCAAAGTATTTATATTCCTATTCCAAGTCAGCCAATTAGATAACAACAAAACACCTAAAAGGCTTGTAACTTCTGTTTGGATTTTAAAAAATAATTAATAAAAGCTAAGTGAAAAAGTATTAAAAATTATTCTAAAACTTAAAAAGTAAAAAGAATTTCCCAGTTAATCTTCCTTAAGTTCAATGTTTTTGCTATTTAAATAAGTAAGTTTATGACTGTGGATCACACTGTAATAAACCTTGTTTAAGCAAGTGGAACTTCAGCCCAAAAAGTTTATGTAAAATCATGTGATTCTGGCACCACCTGGTGGCAGTATATTCCAAAAGAAGAGGATGTGTGTGTGTGTGCGTGTGTGTGTGTGTATGTGTGTGTGTGCATTTTTATTAATAACTAATTCACGCATTTATTTACCAACTATTTAATAGGCATCTGCTAGGTGTTGCTCATATAAATCTTTAAATCTCTCTTGGAAGACAGGAAATAAAATATAGTATCTAAAACAGGGTCCCTATCTCCAAGGAAAAAAAATCCACAGTTAAATTATGACTATCAGAATGTAAGAAAATAATCTGTTCTTGTTTAGAAGTTTCCTGAAAGTATTTATGCCCCTAGAACTTTCAAGCAAGAAGTCCTCAGGAGTGTATTGATAAACATTGTCTATGAAGTCACCACATTGTAAGCAGTTTTCAAGGAAAATAACTGCAGTGGTTTTAAAATGTCCTCAAATTCCTGACACTTCTTCCTCCAAAAGGTTGGCCAGGTGTAGTGGCTCACACCTGTAATCCCAGCACTTTGGGAGGCCCAGGTGGGTGGATCACCTGAGGCCAGGAGTTTGAGACCAGCCTGGACAACATGGTGAAACCCCATCTCTAGTAAAAATACAAAAAATTAGCCAGGCATGGTGATACATGCCTGCAATCCCAGCTACTCACTTGAACCTGGGAGGCAGAGGTTGCAGTAAGCCAAGATTGTGCCACTGCACTTCAGCCTGGGCAACAGAGCAAGACTCTGTCTCAAAAAAAAAAAAAAAAGAGGCTAATTTCCCTTTCCTTAAATGTAGGCTTGACTTAATGACTCACTTCTAATGACGAAAAGTGGCAGAAGTAGTGGTGTGTAACTTCCAAAGCTAGGTTGCCAAAGATATCACCACTTCCATCTTGCCTTCTTCAAGACCACTCACCTGGGGGAAGTCAGCCATCATGTCATAAGACTCAAGAAGCCTGTGGAGAGCCTACCTGGTGAGGCACTGTGGCCTCCTGCCAACCACCAGCACCCATTTGCCAGTCATGTAAGTGGGCCCCTCAGAAACAGATCCTACAGCCCCTACCAAGCTTCAGATGACTGCATCCCTCACCAACAATGCTGAGCTAAGCCACTCACAAAGAAACTAAGAAATAACCAAAGTTTATTGTTTTAAGCCACTTAGTTTTGGGATAATTTGTTATCCAACAGTATTAACTAATCCAATAACCTATCACTTCCTAAAAGAAATTTTATCTATAACAGAAAGTAAAAACAGCTCACTTTAGTTTAATACTATAATTTTTCCATATGTTAATAAAATTTCAAATTGTCCTTCCTAATTTATAAGGAGTGATCCTTTTTTAATTCCCCCAATTGTTTCATAATATTATTTCATAATATTTACCACTTTCTTTTTTTTGAGACAGGGTCTTGCTCTGTCACCCAGGCTGGAATGCAGTGGTGTGACCATGGCTCACTCTAGCCTTGACCTCCCTGGCTCAAGGTCAGCCTCCTGAGTAGCTAGGACCATAAGCATGCACCACCACATATGGCTAAATGGTTTCTGGGTTTTTTTTATTTTTTTTTTGGTAAAGACAGGGTCTTGCCTTGTTGCTCAAAGTGCTGGGATTACAGGCATGATATAATCATATATATAAAATATATAATGTTATTTATGTGCATACATATTACATATATGACATATGTGTATATATTACATATATGTGACGTGTGTACATATAAATGTATGTATGCATGTATGTATATATAACATATATGTATGCATTATATATATAACACATATATAAACACACCCAGCAATATTTATCACTTTCTAAGTTAACTCAATGAAACAGCAACCTAAGTAGATTTTAATCAGTCAGCAAGGATTTTGTTTTTAACACCTCTGTTTGCAGAACAACCACACTAAGTACTGAGTGGAGAACCATATCCTTGAAGTACTTATAATTTAATTCAGATTACCGTTCCAGAAATAATTTATGTTTTTTAACTAAACTTTTTCCCTAGCTCTGAAGGTTATAGGTCAATGGAAGAAGGTACGAAAAATTTTTCCTTTACCTCTGTGAGGGATCCACAAGCCACACCACCATGCAGGGCTTCGTCCAAAGCAGAAAGGGTAGTAGATAAGAATGCTGGTGAGAAATCAGCAGACCTTTGTGCTTTTATCCCATAAGCCTAAACAAGAAAATGATTAAGTTTTTTTTCAACCTCTATATATATTCAAAAACATAAACCAACTTTAATTCTCTAAATTTTAGCAATTTTAACCCTAATCCATCCTTTTCCCTTCTATTATTTATTTGTTCAACAAATATTTACTCTGTGCCAGGGACTGTGCTAGATTATGGGGATATGACATAACAGAAAGAGAGAGACGTTGCCCTCACAGTCTTATGAAGTCAACCAGGGACTATGAAATTAGGACTAGAAACCAGGCAATTACAACACAATTAATAAGAGATATTGTAATAGGGAAAGTATAACTGATACAGATTTTGGAAACTTAATGGAATTGCTGGATGCCCGTGCTAAAATCTGAAAGAGCTGTTAGGTAAGCAAAGGAAATTTGACTATTCCTGCCAAAGAGGACAGAATGTACAAAGAAAGGTCAAGAAGCAAGAGAGGAAACAGGGACTAACACAAACTGTAAATATACAGTTCATTTAGAATGGTTGAAAGATGGAGTGTGGGTGTAGCACAGCAAGCAATGAGGCTAGAGAAGTAAGCAGGGGCCTAACCATAAACAGCTCTGTTGAAGATGCAAAAAGGAGTGACATGAACAAGTTATTTCAAACTTGGGTTCGTTTGTGAAGAACAGTGTGAAGGAAGGTGTGGTAGGCTGAGAAATGACCCCCCACCCCCACCCCTGGATATCCAAATCAAATCTCCAGAACCTGTCTGTGAATATTACCTTATTTGCAAAATGGGTGTTTGCAGATGTGATTAAGTTAAAGCTCTTGAGATGAAGGGATAATCATGGATTATCCAGATGGACCCTAAATACCCACACTAATAAGAGAGGCAGAGGGAATTCAATACACACAGGAAAAGGTTATGTGAAGATGGTATAGAGAGAGAAGCAGCCACAAGCCAAGGAATGTTAATGGCCACCAAAAGCTGAAAGAGGCAAGGAACGGATAATCCCCTAGAACCTCTGGAGAGAATGCAGCTCTGCCTACACCTTAATTTTGAACCTCTGAACTCCAAAACTGTAAGAGAATAAATTTCTGTTGTCTGAAGCCACCCAGGGTGTGATTTGTATTAGAACTGCCACAGGAAACTAATACAACAAATTATAATTTCAAAGACATACTCAGATTAGTTTGTGAAGAACAGCTTGAAGCTGGGAGATCTGTCAGGAAGACGTTACAGTCATTCCAAAGAAAAATAATGGTAGCTAGAAGAAGGTAATAGTAGTGGGGATAAAAACTTTTGGTACTAGCAACTATATCTAAACCCAGGTACACAGTACAACAGTCCCCCTTATCCACGGTTTCACTTCCCATGTTTCAGTTACCCCTGGTCAACATTGATCTGAAAATATTAAATGGATAATTCCAGAAATAATTCATAAGTTTTAAATTGCACACAGGTCTGAGTAGCATGGTGAAATCTCACATCATCCCACCTGGATGTGAATCATCCCTTTGCCAAGTGTATACACACTGTAGACACTCCCTGCCCATTAGTCAGTATCTCAGTTATCATCTCAGTTATCAGATCCAAAAAACATAGTATACATAGAGTTTAGTACTATCCAAATTTTCAAACATCCACTGAGGGTCTTGAAACATATTCCCTGTGAACAAGGGGAGAAACACTACATATCTGAAGTTTTTCCAATATAATACAATTCTGAAATTCTCCTTTTTTTTGTTCAAGACAGAGTCTCACTCTGTCACCCAGGCTGGAGTGCAGTGATGCGATCTCAGCTCACTACAACCTCCACTTCCTGGGTTCAAGCAATTCTCCTGCCTCAGCCTCCCAAGTAACTGGGATTACAGGTGCCTGCCACCAGACCCGGCTAATTTTTGTATTTTTAGTAGAGACGGGGTTTTGCCATGTTGGCCAGGCTGGTCTCGAACTCCTGCCCTCAAGTGACCTGACCACTTCGGCCTCCCAAAGTGCTGGGATTACAGGTGTGAGCCACTGCACCTGGCCCGAAATTCTCCTTTCTTATCCTTGGTGTTGTGTTTGTCCACAAGAAATTATACAAAGAATTCTGGTGATTTCATTTGTTGGTTTTGATCATTCTGATGTATTTAGAACTACAAAAGTTAATACTCTATAAGGAAAATTGTTTTTTTAATTACTTTTATTAATCTTCTGGGATATTAAAATTTTACCTGATTTTTAAAAGATGTTTATTTTCTAATGTTCCTTTTATTCTTTTAAGGGCTTTTGACAACCTCCCTTTGTTAATGGTCTGCTTTACATTTCAGTTTAGTTTTGCCTGCTCCAGGGCACTGTCCAGTCACTATGCTAGGATATGGAGCAAATAACATCAGCTCCTCTTAGATATTGCTGTGATTCAGGAATCATGAACAGTAAGGAAAAGGCAAGGACAGGAAGCTAATGAACATCTGTTGCACATCTACTATGTGCTGTATTAAGTACTTTACATACATTATTTCATTTACACACAGGTATAATTATCTCCATTTCGCAAATGGTAAAAAAACTGAGACTAAGAGAATTGCCAGATATTACTGCAAGGGGACAAACAAGAACTGTTGCTGCTTTTTTCCTAAAGAACATAACATACCTAAAGCAAATTTGGAATGAAAAAAAAAGTTAAAGAAAACAGAACAGTAAAAAATTCCACAATCCTGAGATAACCATTATTAACAATATACACCAAATACCTTTATAACGGTCATTTTTATAAAATTGGCATGTATACTATATACAATTTTGTAGCCTGCTTTTTTCACTAACCATTTATATCCTGTGCATTTCTCCTGTTATTAAAAATTATTGGCTGGGCATGATGGCTCATGCCTGTAATCCCAGCACTTTGGGAGGCTAAGGCAGGAGGATCACTTGCAGCCAGGATTTCAAGACCAGCCTGGGCATCATAGCAAGACCTTGCCTCTGTAAAAATCAATAAACAAACAAATATTTTTTAAAGATTTTAGTGCCTACATAATATTCCCTAACATAAATGTAATATAATTTATCTCCTTCCTATTATTATTGTTTCCAATTTTTTGATATAAGAAATATTTCAGTCGGCATCCTTACGTAGACATTTTTTTCTATAACCTATCATCAGGCAACGTGGATGCATGTGGGGATACTTTCTCAAACATGCAAAGGCAGCCCAATCTGTCAAAATTAAAGCACTTCACTTACAATTTTAAGTGTAATTTCTAGAATAATAGATTCGGTAAGTCAAAAAAAGAATAATCAGCTGGGTGTGGTGGCTCACGCCTGTAATCCCAGCATTTTGGGAGGCCGAGGCCGGCGTATCACCTGAGGTCCGGAGTTCCAGACCAGGCTGACAAACATGGAGAAACCCCATCTCTACTAAAAATACAAAAAAAAAAAATTAGCTGGGCATGGTAGCACATGCCTGTAATCCCAGCTACTCAGGGGGCTGAGGCAGGATCATCACTTGAACCCGGGAGGCGGAGGTTGCGGTGAGCCAAGATCACGCCACTGCACTCCAGCCTGGGCAACAAGAGCAAAACTCCATCTCAAAAAAAGGAATAAAATGAACTAACAGAACAAAACTTCAGAAAAGTAGTATGTATATAAATGAGACAAAGAAGAGTTTTGTGATATGACACTACCAATTTTTCTTCTACTTCGGTGGCTGCTTCTTCTCAGACTCATTATCATCTAATCTGACCTGTAACTGTTGGCATCACTCAGGTTTCAGGCTTAAGTACACTTATCGTCTTACTGTATGCACTTTATAGGCAATCACTCATCCATTCTGATAGCTTTAACTATCATATTTACACCAATGACTCCCACGTGCATGCCTCGCCTTCAAAGTCCAGGTCCATATATTTAACTGCCTATTTCCCATCTTCACTAAATGTTTTATAAACATCTTAAATTAGACAAGTACTGGCCGGGGGCGGTGGTTCACGCCTGTAATCCCGGCACTTTGGGAGGCTGAGGCAGGTGGATCACCTGAGGTCACGAGTTCGAGACCAGCCTGGCCAACATGCTGAAACCGTCTCTACTAAAAATATAAAAAATTAACCGGGCATAGTGGTGGGTGCCTGTAATCCCAGCTACTCGGGAGGCTAACGCAGGAGAATCACTTGAACGTGGGAGCCTGGGCCGAGATCTCACCATTGCACTCCAGCCTGGGTGACAAGAGCGAAACTCCATCTCAAAAAAAAAAAAATTACACAAGTACTAAATTGAATCTATGATCTGCCTCCCTCAAACCTGCTCCTCTTCCAGTATTCCTGATCTCAGGAAATGGTACCACTCAGTTTCTCAAAGCAAAAGTCAGAGAATCATCTCTGACATTTTCCTATACTTCACCACCACCTCAGCCAAACAATCACCAAATCCCATTAATTCTCTCTCCTAGGCTCAGCACAGTGGCTCACATCTGTAATCCCAGCACACTGGGAGGCTGAGGTGGGTGGATTGCTTGAGGCCAGCAGTTTGAGACCAGCCTGGACAATGGCAAAACCCCATCTCTACTAAAAATACAAAAATTAGCCAGGTGTGATGGTGCATGTCTGTAGTCCCAGCTACTGAGGAGGCTTAGGCACAAGAATTGCTGGAACCCAGAAGGCAGAGATTGCAGTGAGCCAAGATCGCACCACTGCACTCCAGCCTGGGCAACAGTGCGAGACTCTGTCTCAAAAAAAAACAAAAATTATCCCTCCTAAATATCTGTCATATTAATCAACACTATAACCTCTGCATTAATAATATAAGTCACCATCACTTTTTGTTTGGAATACAGTAATAGGTACCTAACTAATCTTCGTGAATATTTTATTGCTCCTTTTCAATCACTTGTCCATGTCCAAGACTGATTTTTTTTAAAACACATATTACAGTATACCCTTTTATGAGTTTCCATTGCTCTTGGAATAAAGTCCAAATCAAAGCCCTAATAATCTGACTCCTGCTTACTTCTCTGGCTTCATCTCTTACCACTCTCTTCTTCGTTGTTATGACCCACTCACGCAAGCCCCATTCTCCTTCACTTCCCAGGGCCTTTGCATCTGTTATACCCAACGCCCAATAACTCTTCCCTGCCCATCTCCCTTCCCAGCTCCTTTGCCTATCTCTCACCTATTCATCTTTCATGTTTTAGCTAAAGTATTGCTTCCTTGCAAGGGTCCTCCTGACCCCCAAACTAAGTAATCCCTATTATAAAGTTTCAAAGTACCTTATGCTTTTCCTTCATAGGATTTAGCACTATTATAATTAACTAATTATTTCTGAATTAATATTTTAATGTCTGGCTTCCCCCACTAGACTGTAAACTACAAGAGGGCTGGACTGTATAAACTTGTTCACCATGATAGCCTTGGTGCCTGACAAAGTACCTAATACATGCTTGACATTCAGTAAATACAGGTCAAAAGAATAAATGACTGAATAAATGAGCAAAAAAAATTTCCTGAAGAAATGAACTAAAACTAAGCCAATGCACCAACAACAGGCAAGCAGAGAGCCAAATTATGAATGAACTCCATTCACAATTGCTACAAAGAAAATAAAATACTGGGCCGGGCACAGTGGCTCACGCCTGTAATCCCAGCACTTTGGGAGGCCGAGGCGGGCGGATCATGAGGTCAGGAGATCGAGACCATCCTGGCTAACATGGTGAAACCCCGTCTCTACTAAAAATACAAAAACTTAGCCAGGCGTGGAGGTGGGCATCTGTAGTCCCAGCTACTTGGGAGGCTGAGGCAGGAGAATGGCGTGAACCCAGGAGGCAGAGCTTGCAGTGAGCCAAGATTGTGCCACTGCACTCCAGCCTCGGCGACAGAGCAAGACTCTGTCTCAAAAAAAAAAAAGAAAGAAAGAAAAGAAAATACCTAGCAATAAATATAGCTAACAAGGGATGTGAAGGACCTCTTCAAGCAGAACTACAAACCACTGCTCCAAGAAATCAGAGAGGACACAAACAAATGGAAAAACATTCTATGCTCATGGATAGGAAGAATCAATATCATGAAAATGGCCATATTGCCCAAAGTAATTTATAGATTCAATGCTATTCCCATTAAACTACCATTCACATTCTTCACAGAATTTTAAAAAGCTATTTTAAAATTCATATGAAACCAAAAAGGAGCCTGTATAGCCAAGACAATCCAAAGCAAAAAGAATGAAGCTGCAGGCATCATGCTATCCAACTTCAAACTATACTACAAGACTCTAGTAACCAAAACAGTATGGTACTGATACAAAAACAGACACATAGACCAATGGAACAGAAGAACTCAGAAATAAGACCGCACACCTACAACCATCTTATCTTCAACAAACCTGATAAAAACAAGCAATGGGGAAAGGATTGCCTATTTAACAAATGATGCTGGGAGAACTGACTAGCCATATGAGGAAACTGAAACTGGACCCCTTCCTTACACTTTACACAAAAATTGACTCAAAATGGATTAAAGACTTGAATGTAAAATCCAAAACTATAGGAAAAAAAACAAAACCTTGAAGAAAATCTAGGCAATACCATTCAGAACATAGGCACAAGCAAAGATATCATGACAAAAATGCCAAAAGTAATTGGAACAAAAGCAAAATTGACAAGTGGGATCTAATTAAACTAAAGAGCTTCTGCATAGCAAAAGAAACTATCATGGTAGAAAATGGGAGAAAATTTTTTCAATCTATCCATCCGACAAAGGTCTAATATCCAGACTCTATAAGGAACTTAAACAAATTTACAAGAAAAAAAAAACCAAACAACCCCATTAAAAAGTGGGCTAAGAACATGAACAGATACTTTTCAAAAGAAGACATTCATGCAGCCAACAAACATAGAAAAAAAAAGCTCAACATCACTGATCATTAGAGAAATGCACATCAAAATCACAATGAGATACCATCTCACACCAATCAGAATGGCAATTACTAAAAAGTCAAGAAACAACAGATGCTGGTGAGGTTGCAGACTAATAGGAATGCTTTTACACTGTTGGTGGGAGTGTAAATTAATTCAACCATCGTGGAAGACAGTGTGGCAATTCCTCAAAGACCTAGAGGCAGAAATACCATTTGAACCAGCAATGCCGTTACCAGGTATATACCCAAAGGAATACAAATCATTCTATTATAAATATACATGCACACATATGTTCATTGCAGCACTATTCACAATAGCAAAGACATGAAATCAACCCAAATGCCCATCAATGATAGACTGAATAAAGAAAATGTGGTACGTATACACAATGGAATACTGTGCAGCCATAAAAAGGAATGAGATTATGTCCTTTGCAGGGGCATGGATGGAGTTGGAAGCCATCATCCTCAGCAAACTAATGCAAGAACAGAAAACCAAAAACTGTGTGTTCTCACTTATAAGTGGGAGCTGAACGATGAGAACACATGGACACATGGACACACGGAAGGGAACAACACACATTGGGGCCTGTTGCGAGGTTGTGGGGGAGAGGGAGAGCTTCAGGAAGAATAGCTAATGGACGCTGAGCTTAATACCTAGGTGATAGGATGATCCATACAGCAAACCACCATGGCACACATTTACCTATGTAACAAACCTGCACATCCTGCACATGTACCCCGGAACTTACAATAAAAGTTGGAAAAAAAAAAAACTAAGCCAGTGTTTAGGGCAGTGCTGAAATATAAGGAATGCTACAAGAATGAATGTAAACCATAGGAGAAAGATGGTTTCTTGAACTGTATTTGGAATTGTATTAAGATGGCAGCTGAAGGTAGTGATGGAAGTAGAAATTAAAGTTGAATTTCGGGACCATGCTCTCTATTTATTAACGGGAAATATGCCATGGATATTGACTAATTAGAATGACAGATGACAAATTAAAGGTTTTTCTGGTGCTTTACAACCTTCAAAATAATAACAAGTTAATTTGAATCTAGTCACAGAATCATTGCATAGTATTTTAACTTCTGTTTTCTCCCATAAAAGAAAGCTGTTCAAGCAATGAAATCAATGATAAAGCTAAGACTAATGCCAGTTTCTAACTCCAGTTCTGATTCTCCTTCTGACTATCCTGTCTTTAAAATATTTTCCTCAGATCACAAGCTAAATCTGAACAAAAGAAAATATCTGTTGTTTGGCCAGGCACAGTGGCTGATGTAATCCCAGCACTTGGGGAGGCCGAGGCGGGAGGATCACTTGAGCTCATAAGTTCAAGAACAGTCTAGGCTATGTGGCAAAACCCCATCTCTACAAAAAACACAAAACGTAGTTGGGCATGGTGGTGTGCACCTGTAGTCCCAGCCACTCGGGAGGCTGCGGTGGGAGGATGGCTTGAGCCCAGGAGGCGGAGGCTGCACTGAGCCGAGATCACACCACCGTACTCCAGCCAGAGAAATAGAGACAGACCTCATCTCAAAAAAAAAAAAAAGAAAGAAAATATCTGTTGTTCAAATATCTGTTCATTGTTTTTAGAAGTTTCCAGTGACACTAACATTCCTTCCTTCTCCCCTTCTTCAGAGAATTGTACTTCATTGTTCAGTGTTCAGTAAATTTCAATATAAGGCAGTAAGGTAAGAAACTTACAGTCCACATAAATAAATACATTTGCAAAGCACCGAACAGAATTTTAGGAAACTCTTACTGTGAGAAAACAAGATATTTCTATCATGCTCCAAATCTACATTTTGAAAAGCTACAGTCATGACACAAAAAGTCTGAAAAAATGTACAATTTGATGAGGGCTTTTGTAAAAGACTTCAAATTTTCTTAAGAGTAAAGGATAAATTTTTAATTACCTTTTATTCAATCAATAAGCAACTACAAGTACAATTATGTGTACTTTATGATCTAGAGCAAGTGATGATGGTAAAGGTCAGTATATCAAAGAAAGGGGCATTCTAAAATTAAGATTATAATTTAACTATGAGGCCATCAAATACTACCTAATCAATCAGAGAAAGATGACCTTTTGAACTACTGCTATTGGCTATAGAAAAAAAAATAAAAACTTTCTGTTGCTCCCTAATTCCCATATTTAGAAATTGTCTCCCATGAGTTTATAAACTACATAAATTTTTCACACATAGGCTAGGCACGGTGGCTCACGCCTGTAATCCCAGGACTTTGGGAGGTCGACGCAAGCAGATCACTTGAGGTCAGAAGTTTGAGACCAGCCTGGCCAATAAGGTGAAATCCCATCTCTACTAATAATATAAAAATAAGTTGGCTTGGTAGCACCGTGCCTGTAATCCCAGCTACTCAGGAGGCTGAGGCAGGAGAATCGCTTGAACCCAGGAGGCAGAGGCTACAGTGAGCCGAGATCGTGCAACTGCCCTCCAGCCTGGGCAACAGAGCGTCTCAAAAAAGAAAAAAAAAATTTTCACATGTATTTTCCTTAGAGAACTAACTTCTATAGTAGAAAACTCAGTATTTTTGAGGTACTCATCTCTATTTCTGCATGTGCCTCATCCCTAAAAAAACATGTTTAATGAGATGAGGAATCATTCATAATCAAATCATAATAAAATATAAATATACCGTTTGCATCTTTGGGGCACAGGCCCTGCTGACCATACATAGAAGTTCATGGACACCTCGATAACTCAGACCAGTCACCTTCATAAGCTCCAGTGGGGAAAGACATAAAAAGTCCTAAAGAAACATAAAGAGAGTATTTTAAACATATATGTGTAACAAAGATACTAGAGTTAAAAGGAAACCTTCAATTGATACTGCTTATGTAGACAAAAGTATAATTTATCGCAGATCAAAGATTTATACATTCATTGTAGTATTTTCCCCATAAATATGCCTTAACTAAAAGTTGTAATGACACAAACTTATCTTCTAATTATCCTGTTTAGTTGGCATATACCAGAGGATACACCAAATAATATCACATAGCACCAGCATCCAATCCAGGTGCGTATGAGCGCTACACTTGTGCCAAAAAGAATTTGGGTATAAATATATGCCCAGAAAGTGTCAGGTTGAAAGAGTTTCTTTCCTTTTTTTTTTTTTTTTTTTTTTTTTTTTTGAGACAAGAGTTTTGCTCTGTCGCCCAGGCTGGAGTGCAGTGGCACGATCTCGGCTCACTGCAACCTCCACCTCCTGGGTTCAAGCGATTCTTCTGCCTGAGACTCCTGAGTAGCTGGGACTACAGGCACTCACTACCATGCCTGGCTAATTTTTTTTATTTTTAGTAGAGACAAGAGTTCACCATATTGGCCAGGCTAGTCTCGAACTCCTGACCTCATGATCTGCCCACCTCGGCCTCCCAAAGTGCTGGGATTACAGGTGTGAGCCACCGTGCCCGGCCGAAAGAGTTTCTTTCTAAGCTAGAAGTTCACTCAGAGATAATATTTCGTAGTTGAAAAAGAATGAAACTGACTATAGGATGAAATAACAAATTTCATACTTTTAAGAATGTTTCCGAGTATAAATATGCAAATAATTAAATGTATAACAAAGGAACCGATGTTATCTTTAACACAGAAAGCAATTCAAAAAAAAAATTGCAGAATGCTCTGTGAAAATGTCTTATTAAAGATAAAATCAGGCCAGGCACGGTGGCTCATGTCTGTAATGCTAGCACTTTGGGAGGCTGAGGGAGGCGGATCACTTGAGATCAGGAATTTGAGACTAGCCTGGCCAACATGGTGAAACCCCGTTTCTACTAAAAATCCAAAAATTAGCTGGGTGTGGTGGCATGTGCCTGTAATCCCAGCTACTCAGGAGATGGAAGCAGGAGAATCACTTGAACCGGGGAGGAGGAGATTGCAGTGAGCCGATATGGCACCACTGTACTCCAGCCTGGGCAACAGAGTGAGACACTGACTCTAAACAAACAAACAAAAAAAGGATAAAATCCTAAGATAAAACCTTAAATCTAGCCAGGCACAGTGGTGTGTGCCTGTAATCCCAGCTAGCTGGGAGTTGAGGCTGGAGGATTGCTTAAGGCCAGGAGTTCAAGATCAGCTGGGGCAGCATGAGAACCTAGTCTCAAAAACAACAAAGAACAAAAACAACCAACCAAAACCTTTAAATCTTATTTACCCTGCTAAGGAGGATTTGCTTCACCACCTTGCTTAAAAATGCAAGATCCGCTCTATATATTTCTCATGCTCCATCAATAAGAAAATGGTCTATTAATTTCTTTTGCTTTTAAGAGAAATGATACATGTTGAATAGTATCTCCTCATTTGAGTCCTATTTCTCATGTAACTATAAAACAGTAAAGCTGTTACTTCACCTTATGCCGTGACCACTTTCCCCTCAAAATGCAAAAATACTAAATTTGGGTAAATGAAATAGCAGTTGGAAATGCACCCAAGGAGGCTTGATATTTACAATTAGCCTATGGAAAAGCACCATCATTTATCTTTTTTTTGTAAGCCTACATTTTCATATTTCAAGTTTAAGAGGTATTAAGGTATAAAGTTAACTTGTGCATAAAACTTATCAATAAAAATGTTAAATAAAATTTACCTGACAGGTAAGGATCTGATGTCTACTCAGACGGTCACACAGCTCTTGTGATAAACCCACTCGTTTTAGTTTCTTGCTACCCATGCCTCCAGATCCAGCAAAGAAAAGAAGAACCATGAAAAAAACAACAGAATATAACATAAGTGATAGTGAATAGGCTATCCAAAACAAAATTAAAAATTCCTCAAGTTTCTCCATATGCAAAATGAAACATATTGTGTTAAAAATATTACTGATAAAGGAATGCTATAGAACCTTTTTAAATGTTTTAAATAGGAGGGACAATTGTTCGTCAAACAGGCACATAGAAAATCTACAAGGCAACCTCAAATATAATTTCACACAATTAATTGATATTTACTACATGAATATAGTACCACTTCACATTTGTAGAGCATCTTAAAATGTTCAATGCATGTATAAATTTTATTTGGAAATGTAATTAACTTTCAAGGCATATTTCCAAACAGAACTACTAGAAAGTCTATTGCACTGTAACAATTTACATTGCACTGTAACGGCAATAGGTATATTTATGGAGCACCTACCACATACCAGGCACTGTTCCAAAACTTATCTAAATTATCACATTTAATCTTCTCAATAGCCCTAGAAGGAAAGTAGATTATTGGCCCCTTTTTTACATATGAGAAAACTAAAGCCTGGAAAAGTTAGCTAGTCCATTGTCACCAGAAAACATAAATAACTGATCCAGAATTTGAATCCAGGCAGTCTAATTCTGAAACCTATCCTCTTAACCATTACACTCTACTGCAAGTCCATAATCATATTTAACTCTTCCTTTTTCTAGGAGTCAGAGCACACCTTCTGAATCAAATGAGATTTTATCACTGCAGTATTAAAATGTTCTTTTTAAATATATATATAGAGAGAGAGAGAGAGAGCGAGACAGGTCTGGCTCTGTCACCCCAGCTGGAGTGCAGTGGCTCGATCTCAGCTCACTGCAACCTCCCCCTCCTGGGCTCAAGCAATCCTCCTACCTCAGCCTCCCAAGTAGCTGGGACCACAAGCGTGCACCACCATGTCTGGCTAATTTTTGTATTTTTTGTAGAGACAGGGTCGACACCATGCCTGCCCAATTTTTGTATTTTTTGTAGAGACAGGGTTTTGCCATGTTGCCCAAGCTGGTCTCGAACTCCTGGGCTCAAGTGATCCTCTCGCCTTGACCTCCTAAAGTGCTGGGATTACAGGCATGAGCGATCAGACCTGGCCCAAAATGTTCTTTATTACACTAGCTGCTTATATTCTCACATGCAGTTAAATTTCACTATTGTACCTTGCTAGGGGTAAATGAGGCTCATGAAAGATTTATCTTCACAGAGCTAAAAAAGAATTACTGTGAGTCTCTTAATGCATACAAAGGAGAAGCTGTATATCTCATTGAGATGGTAAAGAAGTATCCTCTGGAACGAACTGAAACAGGAACTCTTCATGGATCCAAGGAATAAAGCAATATAGTTATCAGAAAAGAAGTAACATTTTGGAATGAAAATATATGTATACTGAGAATGTATATATTTGTTTATTTCCAATACCATGGCCCAAATTTCTATTTAACACCTAAATTCTCTGAATCAGACTGAATCAATCTCTCTCTCTCACACACACACACACGCACACACAATATACATACATACACACCTCTCACAAACAAAAATACATCCTCCTCATTTCTCTCCATGGGAATTTGTTAGCAATGACTTGTTTCCCCCAGTAGAAAACCAAGTGATACCTGCTATAATATTGCCTAGTGTCTTTTCAGATCAGGTAGTTTCAAGTAATGACACCATTTAGACTGATAAATTCAATTTAAAAAAAAAAAGAAGGAGAAAGAAAAGAACCATAGGCCACACAAGGTAGCTCACGCCTACAATCCCAGCACTTTGGGAGGCTAAGGCAGGCAAATTGCTTGAGCCCAGGAGTTTGAGACCAGCCTGGGCAACATAGAGAGAACCTGTCTCCACAAAAAAATACAAAAATTAGCTGGGCATTGTGCCGCACACCTGTAGTAGTCCTAGCTACCCAGGAGGCTGAGATGAGAGGATCACCTGAGCCCAGGAGGTCGAGCCTGCAGTGAGCTGTGGTCATGCCACTGCACTCTAGCCTGGGGAACAGACTGAGACCCTATCAAAAACAAAAAACAAACAAACAAAAAACTATAAATTCTAAACTACAAGGACTTTAACAACAACCAATTCTGCCATTTCTGCCTTAATAGGGCCACTCCCATCACTTGCCTGGACTATTGCATATTGTTTCTGGCCACTCCATTCATTTGTTCCTTAATTTACTCCTTCCACAGGCATTTAAATACACACCCTGCTGAGGTCTGGGGTACAAGAATCATTTAAGCATATTCCCTCCCCTTTGAATACTCATAGTTGAGATGAAAAGAGAGGTACACACAAATAACTACAGCCATGCAGTAAGCATTACAATTGCTATTTAAAAGTGCTATGGAAGCAGACAGGAAGAAGCCCCAAATTCGCCTGCAAAAGTCAGATCAGTGTCACAATCCTGCCTTGAGTAGCTTCCTAAAAAGTCACGATTATCCTTTAACACTTCCCATGGGACTGGTAGACCACAGGATAAATTCCAAACTTCTTAGGGTCGCAGAGAAAAACATCAAAAATTGGTCCCTCACTTCCTTCTCACTCATACATCACATTGCAACGTTCAGTTCCTATCCTTCCTGGCAGTTACTTCACCTCTCAGTGTCTTAATTTCCTTAAAACCCTTGTTTTACAGTCATATGAATTTACTACTTCATATGACTGTAGTGGAGGTTAAAGGACTCGGGGAGTGCGTGGCACATAGTACTTAAGGTCAGCAATCATCATTTAATGACTCTCACATGATCTGCCCTCCAGCCACATGGTATGTGTATTGGTAGGTCACGCATCCTGTCTCCCTGACTTCCCTCCACAAAACCTTCCCCAGAGTCAAGTCTTTTCCTCTCCAATGTTCTCATCAACTTCGCACATATCTATTCGATAATCTTATCAAAATACTATTATGGCTTGCAAGTTTGTTTGCCCCCACCGGAGCACGTAAATTCCTGCGGTGTATGTGTGCGCGAAAGCACGTATGTGTATTGCACATGAGGGGAGACGGTCAACCCTGGAGAATGAACCCTGTCCTCCTTACCACCAAGAAAAGAAAATTCTTCATGTTAGATGTTCAACAACTGTTTAGGAACAATATTAGCTAATATTTATTGAGCCCTTATTACGTGCCACACTGTTCCAAAGGCTTCGGATATTTTACCTCACTTTACAGATAAGGATACTGAGGTAACTAGTTGAGAAACTTGGGCAAAGTTAAACAGCTGACAATTGGTGTGAAGCTCGCATTCGAATCCAGGGACCGGACTCCAGATTCCACGCTCTCCAACACCACCTGAAGTGGGAGAGTCCCTCAACTTCCCCTAATGACAGGCTGCCCGAAGCGGGAAGGGGCTGGGGAGGAAGATGGGCAGCAACAGGCGGAAACATCACCCAGAATCCCCTAAAAAGAGCTTTTTCCAACAATGAGCAGCTTCCAAGCATTCCCCACCAAAAGAAGGCCCGAAGCTCCCCCAATTCACAGCGGGGTTCTTAGTGACGATCCCGAGTCTTAAGGGGGCGTGACCAGCACCCAAGAGAAAATCTCCGCTCCCCCAATATCGAAACCCACGAGCCTAGGGAAGGAGCAGGAAATAATGAGCGAACCCCACTTCCCCACAACGGCACCCCACATGAAACTTTCCAGTACCGGGTCTGCAGCATCCAACTTTCAAGTTTCCCCACCCTTTACACAGTTTCCCCGCGGAAAACGCCGCAAAGCAACAACCGAAGCACTGATTGAGTCGTCATTCTGGCTACTGTATCCAATCAGAGGCCGGCAGAGGCCCAGGTTGGCTCCGCGGCTTGCTGGGAATTGTAGTTAATACTATGATCAGCCTAACAGATCGAATCTGAAGCAGTTTCTCAATATAGTGATTATCAAAATCTGTTGCAGGACCATCACCAAAGAGAATGTGAAACAAGGGAACACCCTGTTTGGAAATTTTTCTTTTTTCTTTCTTTTTTTTTTTTTTTGAGACGGGGTCTCGCTCTGTCGCCCAGGCTGGAGTGCAGTGGCGCGATCTCGGCTCACTGCAAGCTCCGCCTCCTGGGTTCACGCCATTCTCCTGCCTCAACCTCCCTAGTAGCTGGGACTACAGGCTCCCACCACCACGCCCGGCTAATTTTTTTGTATTTTTAGTAGAGACGGGGTTTCACCGTGTTAGCCAGGATGGTCTCGATTTCCTGACCTCGTGATCCGCCCGCTTCGGCCTCCCAAAGCGCTGGGATTACAGGCGTGATCCACCGCTCTCGGCCCTGGAAATCTTTTTTTTCGTGTATCATCACTTTTCACAATGGCTTAAAGGGGCCAGACGCAGTGGCTCACGCCCGTAATTTCAGCACTTTGGGAGACCGAGGCGGGAGGATCACTTGAGCCTGGGAGTTCGAGACTAGCCTTGGCAACATAGTGAGACACCCTCCCCCACCCCTCCGCCTCTACAAAAAAATACAAAAAATAGGCTGGGCGCGGTGGCTCATGCCTGTAATCCCAGCACTTTTGAAACTGCCCGATGGGTTCACCTTACCAGCTGCCTAGACAGAACCGATTTATCAGGACAGGGGAATTGCAATGCAGAAAGAGTAATTCACGCAGAGCCAGCTGTGCGGAAGACTGAAGTTTTATTGTTACTTAAATCAGTTGTCCCGAGCATTTGCGGATCGGAGTTTTTACCAATAATTTGGCTGGTAGGGGCTTAGGAAGTGGGGAGTGCTGATTGGTCAGGTTGGAGATGGAATCATAAGGGGTCGAAGTGAGGTTTTCTTAATGTCTTCTGTTCCTGGGTGTGATGGCAAAACTGGTTGCGCCAAATTACTGGTCTGAGTGGTGTCAGCTGATCCATGGAGTGCAGGGTCTACAAAATATCTCAAGCACTGATCTTAGGGCTTGCAATAGTGATGTCACCCCCGGGAGCAATTTGGGGAGGTTCAGACTCTTGGAGCCAGAGGCTGCATGACCTCTAAACTGTAATTTCTAAACTTGTAGCTAATTTGTTAGTCCTGCAAAGGCAGACTGGTCCCCAGGCAAGAAGTGGGTCTTTTCGGAAAGGGCTGTTATCAATTTTGTTTCAGAGTCAAACCATGAACTGAATTCCTCCCCAAAGTTAGTTCAGCCTACGCCCAGGAATGAACAAGGACAGCTTAACGGTTAGAAGCAAGATAGAGTCGGTTAGGTCTGATTTCTTTCACTGTCATAATTTCCTCAGTTATAATTTTGCAAAGGCGGTTTCACTTCGGAATGCTGAGGCAGGCAGATCACTTGAGCTCAGGATTTCGAAACCAGCCTGGCCAACATGGCGAAACCCCGCCTCTACTAAACATACAAAAATTAGCCAGACATGGTGGCAGGCACCTGTGATCCCAGCTACTTGGGAGGCTGAGGTGAGAGGAGCCAGACATTGCCTCAAAAAAAAAAAAAACCTTAATGGGCCAGAAAGCCATGTTACTTTTCTCAGGAATCGAGGACAATCCACCAATCACAGAAGAGTTTTTGGAAGAAAACGTTTTGTTTGTTTTAACTTGCTCTTTTCACCACCCTTTGGTGATTAAATAGTTTGGGAAATGCTGAATGAAATTACTAAACCTGAAACACACATAGTGAGGAAAGCTGAGAGTCTGTGATTAAAGCACACCAGGGAAACCAAACAAAAGGCTTGGTGTAAGGCAGCTGTGGTGAGCAAACCTAGTAAGCCGTTACTTCAAGAGTTGGTTTCAGGCTGGGAACGGTGGCTCACGCCCGTAATCCCAGAACTTTGGGAGGCCGAGGTGGGCGGATTGCCTGAGGTCAGGAGTTCGAGACCAGCCTGGCCAACATGGTGAACCCCTGTCTCTATTAAAAATACAAAAATTAGCCGGGTGTGGTGGCGCGCGCCTGTAAATCCCAGCTACTCAGTGAGGCTGAGGCAGAAGAATCGCTTATCCCAGCTACACAGTGAGGCTGAGGCAGGAGAATCGCTTAAACCCGGGAGACGGAGGTTGCAGCGAGCCGAGATCGCGCCATTGCACTCCAGCCTGGGAGACAGAGCGAGACTCTGTCTCAAAACAAAAGACTTGGTTTCAGATTATTGTGTTTGCGAAAAAGCCTTTGCTCATTCTTTGCTCTCTGATCTCTTATGCATACTTCTGTCTTATAATTTAGCCCACCGTCTCCTAATTTTTGGCCTGCATCTCCCTTGAGAAGAAGGACCTCCATTTACTCAACTTAGAGAATAGGGCCTAAGCCCGGTGTAGTGGCGCGCGCCTCTAGTCCCAGCTACTACAGGAAGGCTGAGGCTTAAGGATTACTTGATCCAGGAAGTTCGAGGCTGCCATGAGCCGAGATCACACCACCGCACTCCAGCGACAGAGAGACTCTGTCTCTAAAAAAATAAAATAAAGCCTAGCACACCGTTCAATTAACAGTTGTAGGGTAAATGTGCAAATAAATGAATGGAGTGAAGCAGAAGAATATGGAAATTCAGACCGCAGAGTTCCGGAACAAAAGAGCCCAGTAGATAGAATAATAATGGAGGAGAACCCAGTTCTCCTAGCTCCGGGTATCCCCCGCGCCTGGCAAAACACCATCACTGGTTGGCGTTCAATAAATGTTGACTTCACATGTTAAGGAGATAAGAGAGTGGAAGAAAAAAAAAAATCCAGGGTCACAGTTCTTCCTGCCACCTGCTCGGCCGAATGCAGAACTGAAAGTATTGAGCGCCGGAGCTGTCACAATTGAGGGAGATGGTCCGCAGCCAGGTAGCTGATTTCCTCTTTCCGAGCTTTCTAGCTTTCCCTACTCCCGGAGAGGTGGCGTCACGTGACTCAAACAAATATGGCACTTAATTTTCATCTTCCCTGCCTTGAGCCAATAGGAGTGGGGCTTTCAGTCTTTGTCACCACCCCCACCACCGCTGTTCGGAGTGGGTTCTGTCACCTGACTCGGCTCAAACATGGCTGCGCTGAGAGCTCTATTGCTTTGGGCGCCGGGAGCAGGTGAGTGTAAGACACCCCTGAGAGGGAGGGGCCCCTCTCCACGACCCCCGCAGAGAGCGTCCCTGCGGCCCACCCCCACACTGCTTTCCACTTATGACACAGATTCGTCTCCTGGTCGTCAATCCTCTGCCTTAACAGAGGGCTCAAACTAGGGAGGTTCCTGCTGAATTTCTCATTCTTGAGGAGGCGACCACCTGGGGATTTGGAGTCAAGACTGGGCATAACGTTCAGTAGGGAATACGGACGTAGAGTTATGGGTCTGCGCCCGGAGCAAATATGACTATTAATATTATTAAATATAGGAATCCGCGTGAAGAGATGGGATCCACCCCTTGAAGAAAGTGTTTTCAAAAAGTAACGTGGGAAATTAAACTGAAAACGATACTTAGGCAAGCAAGTCCCGCCTTTCCCAGGCGGACCAGTAGTTGCTGCTTTGTCTTAATACAGTGCCTTCTGTTTCTTCTCACTGGCGTTGTGTTGTTTCTAGGAGGTACTCCGCGAATGAGAACATTGAGAATGTGTTCGGCATAACTCATTTCTTTGTATCTCCCTGCACTCTGTGCTGGGAAAATGAATCATCCATTTGGAAAAGAGGAAGCTGCTTCGCAGAAGCAGCTTTTTGGATTTTTCTGCGAATGCCTGCGGAGGGGAGAATGGGAGCTGGCACAGGCATGTGTACCTCAGCTACAGGAGGGACAAGGGGATATCCCAAAGAGGGTAGAAGACATACTTCAGGCATTGGTGGTGTGTCCAAATCTGCTGAGGTAAGGGATCTCTTTTCCTACCAGACGGTCCCAGGGTGAGAGACATGTGGTTCAATATTTGGGCATTGGTCAATGTGCCCCCACTCAACTACCCTCTGAAGAATAAGCAGAGGCACAGTGTATTTCACGTGCTCTGAAATTTTACCTCTATAGTATACATCCATTACTTAGTCAATATTGGCTTTTGATTATCATCTGCAACTGAATGTAAGCCTGGCTGCCAAAGTGTGCCTGAAACTGCCATTTCTTGTTTATCCTCGTTAATATAGATGGTGGAACTGCATTGAAAACTATTTTCTTTGCCTCCAAAAAAGCAAACCCTGCTCTCTTCTTGCTTATGAGATTGAAAATATTGTTGTCGCTTTACTTAAAACTTTTTATTTCGAAATAATTGCAGTCTCACAAGAAGCTGCAAAAATAATGGAGTCCAGCGTATCCTTTTCCCAGTCTGCCCCAATTGCGACGTCTCATACAGCTGTAGTACAATATCAAAACCATGAAATTGACATTGGCACATTACTTTAAATGACACTACAGAGTTTATTTGGTTTTCAGCATTTTCTTAATCTGCCTTCATTTTTTCATTTGTAGTTTTATGCAGTTTTATCCATATATAGATTCATGTAATCCCACTGTAATAAGGATCAGAACTGTTCCATTACCACAAAAGAATTCCCTCACTCCTTGGTGCTACCTCTTTGTATTTATACAACAACCCCTCCTTGTTCCCTGGCAACCACAGTTCTCCATCCTTGATTTTCAATGAAGTTCCTCCTGGTGATGCTAGTAACCACTGGTGATGTAGGAGTCAAATGTACCGTTTTAAGTCTTTCCTTGGGTTTTCCTTCCTTTGACTGTTATGCTATACTGTTTACATATTGTATTAGCACATATACGATGGAGAAACTTAAGTGATCCCTTCCTTTTCTTTTTCTCCTTTAATTTGAGATCTAGCCAGTTACCGTCTAAATTCCTAACTTCAAAGAAAGGCTTATGAATTCCTAAAGTCCTGTTTTTAGCATATAGTTAAAAATAAATTTGTATGAAGTTCCTTTTTTAAGACTGTCTGATTCACTTTCTGTATTAAAAATATGCTTCAGATAGTATTAGCTATTATGGTTTTCTCGAATATTATTTTATTTTAAACTAAGATAAGGAGGTGGAGGTGAGATTAAGGCTTTTTATGAAAGCTGCTAGCTCTGTTCTGGTTCTGATTTGTTTGTTTGTTTGTTTGTTTGTTTGTTTGTTTTGGAGACAGAGTCTTGCTCTGTCACCCAGGCTGGAGTGCAGTGGCATGATCTAGGCTCACTGCAACCTCCGCCTCCCAGGTTCAAGCGATTCTCCTGCCTCAGCCTCCCGAGTAGCTGGGACTACAGGCGCCTGCCACCGCACTTGGCTAATTTTTGTATTTTTAGTAGAGATGGGGTTTCATTATGTTGGCCAGGTTGGTCTCGAACTCGTGACCACAGGTGATCCACCCACCTCAGCCTCCCAAAGTGCTGAGATTACCGGTGTGAGCCACCTTGCCTGGCCTGGTTCCAATGTTTTACTGAACTGTCATATACATTTAAAAATATCTCATTAGGGCAGTGTCTTGCCTGTTCAGGTTTAAAACAGAATAAGCAATGAAATCTGTCTTGGATGACAAAAGATGAAAGATCAGTAGAAACTCTTTTTTACAAGTCTTTCTTTTTACCTTTTTCAGATGTGGGCAGGACATCAACCCTCAAAGAGTAGCCTGGGTCTGGCTTCTTGTACTGGAGAAATGGTTGGCCCGGGAAAAGGTAAGTAGGTTTATATTAAATTTTCCTCCGAGGCCAGGACTGAGAAGAACTTGAAAGTAGTTGTGGGATTTCCCTTCTGTCTGTTACTTCCTTTATCATTAAATTCATCATACTCATTCTCAAAGAATGGCTTAAATTTTTATTGCTGTCTCCTTACCTAAATTCATTCATTAATGCACTAATATACATTGGCATATATTACTGTTTGTTAAATACCACCATGAGTCTTGTGCCTAAAGAGAACTTTTGGAAACTCAGTGAAGGTAACAAAATAGCAAATAAAATATGAATCTGTAACATTTGGATCTATTCAACATTTAAGTAATAGAGAATGGGCTGAGCTGAAACTTGGTTTTTCTTCCAAAAATCATATTTTAACTAGCCTAATTCCATGACATCTCATAGATTCAAATTCCATTAATTCATAGTTTAATAATTCACATGAATTGAACAGAAAATTACCAGATATAAAAACAAGTAAGCAAATTAATATTGAAAAAAAAAACCTGGTAAGGAATTACCTTTTTTAAAGATAAACTTCCATTAAAAGTCCTTTTAGAAGTATGTTAATTATCAGAAATTTATATCTTATAAAAGAATTACTCTGAGACATTTTCATATTGAACTTCAGACTTTGAGATTTAAGTGAAGAACCTCTAACTTAGAAATGACTGGCCCAAGGACACACCGTAAAGTTATTTGACAGAGCTGGTGCTGAAACCAAGATCTTCTGACCTCAATCCTCTGCTTTTTCCACCTTAACACTACTTTTTTAGCCCAGATGGACTTTAAGAAACCACAAATTCTACTTTTAAAATGTCTGTAATTTCGCCAGTTTTTTAAATTTTTGCTCCTCTCGGTCACCAGAATTAATTTTGTCTTTGGTTCCACTTTTGCATGATATTTATCGTTCCTCACAGAGCTGTCAAAAAGTAACAGAAATTGCTAATCTGAATGTATCTCTTATCCAGGATTTAGCCAGTTGTTTAGGAAAGAAAAATGACAGAAAGACTAGTAGGAGCGAGAAGAAAGAAAAACAAGATTGAAACATAATGAAACCCAGCATCATTAAGAGTTGGCTATGGTTTCAGATTTAAAAGAGAAAACTTGAACTAAAATAGTAACCTATAGTTACTATAGTATCTTCAAAGAGAAAAAGAACTATTGTTACTGATTAAGGGATCTCTCTAGTACAAACATGGAATTTGTCAAATCAAATTAACTTTCCCCTCAGTAGAGACTATTTGCTTACTTTATATCTGAATGGTTGCTTATTTTCTAGACAGTTGCTCAACTATGTCAGGAGATGGATTCCACTTCCCGTTCTTGTTTTTCCCAGGTTCACAAATAGATTATTTGGTCTTTAAAGCTTCAATGACTTGCTTATTTAAACAGTTGTGGGACTATTTTAGTTCCTCATAGAATTTTAAAACTATATAAGCACCATGGCGTCCAGTGAATTCTTGGGGTAGTTTTCCAAGTCCAGTCATTATCCTGAAGGTGCCTTCATCATCTAGGAATTTACTGGCTGCCTGTCCTTTTCCAGGTTCCCACCTTTTGCCAAAAGCTTCCCTTTTAATTATTAGATGAAATAGTGATTCTATTTTCCCTTTCCTCCATTCATTTTTGCCTTCTGCCTTTTAATCTTGCAGAGATGTATCTCTCCATGTGTAAGCAATTATACAAAGATTTAGCTGCAGAAATGTTCACGTCTATGCTACTTCTATTAGAAGAAAACTGAAACAACTCCCATGTCCATAGTATAGGACAGGTTAATAAATGGAAATATATCTATATGTAAAATACTATACCACTATTCAAAAGTATTTGGCAAATGAGTTTTCACTAACATAGAGTGTTCATGGTCTGCTGTATGGGAAAAAAGGCAGTTTAGAAAAAAGTACATTTGGTATACATGCATAGAGATGTGCATAGCAAATGGTCTGAATGAATGGCCTTAGACCACAGTTTTCATAATTGTTCTCCTTCAGTGAGAATATATATAAAATATATATTTCATATATAATATGTTATATGTAATATATTTCATATGTGATATATATTTCATATATAATACATGTTATATATCATATATTTTATATTTGTTATATATCATAAATTTCATATATGTTATATATTATATATTTCATATGTAACTAAATACACCAATTAAATTTGTAAAATTACAAAATTAAATATACAAATAAGCAAACTAACATATGTTATATATATTATATTGCACTAAAATATAACATATATGTTACATATCTCTCTCTAGGATAAAACACTTTATCTTAGAGAAATAGCAGAAATAAGACTAACTGGACATACATATGTTTTATATATATATAACATATTTTAGTTTACTTATTTGTATATTCAATTTTTCTACATTGAACATGCCTTGCTCTTGTAACCGTAAAGTTATTTGACAGAACTGCTGCTGAAACCAAAATCTTCTGACCTCAATCCTCTGCTTTTTCTGCCTTAACACTACTTTTTTAGCCCAGATGGACTTAAAACTAAGAAACCACAAATTCTACTTTTAAGATGTCTATAATTTTGCCAGTTTTTTAAATTTTTGCTCCTCTCGGTCACCAGAATTAATTTTGTCTTTGGTTCCACTTTTGCATGACATCCTTGCTTAGAAATGCTGAGCAAATTCTTGCCTATTTTAGGAAGATAAATGTTAGTCAATTATGATCCTGAATATGTTTAAAGTAGTTTCAGCAGTAAAATAAGTATAATCTACTCAGTCTTTAGGATTCTAAATAAAATCTTAGCCAGGCTATTAAGGATCTGCTGTCCTAGACATCTTATCTATTCTTTTCTGTTAGTCTTCAATAGAAGCACTAATCCTCAGCTTCCCAGCATGAATTTTATCCACCAGCTTCCAATCACAGGCATTATACAAGCATTCACATGGCCTTGATGCACATATTAGGGAAGTACATGGTTAGAAGAAATAAGATTTTGGACCAAGAACACATTAGATCATGTTAGCCTCTGATGTGGTGAATGGTACATGAATGGAGATAGTTAGGTCTTGTGCTCTAAACTCTCCTCACTCATGTACACACACACACCTGCAGCTGTACACACACACACACTCTCACACACACACATCCCTGCAGGTGTTCCTTGCCTTCCAATAAAACTTATCTTTGGGAAGCTTTAACCAGAGGCAAGATTGACAGATGTCTCATATTTAAGGTAGTGTTTGTCAGGATAAGTCTCAGACTCTTGCTATTTTTATTTGTGTCTGGAAAAGGGGAGACTCCAATTTGTGTGTTAGGGACCAGGTGAAGGTAAGTTATTGTGAAACAAGCAGGCGCAGGAAGAGTCAGAGCCTTTGTCTCTATATATTAGACCTCTCTGATGGCACATCTCATTAACAAACACTGGGATCACCTTTTCCTTTTTGTTTGAAAAAATTGGGAAAAATGCTTCCTAACCATTTTACCTCTAGTAAAGATTATTTGTAAAAAATATATAAATATGTGCCACAGTTTTGTTTGATTTGGAAATTAAGTGTATTAAGAATAAAATATGGCACACAGTACCTGTGAGGTACTGGCATATAATAAGTGTTTAATAAACATTGGATTTCTCCCCTTATACTGTTCTTCTTTCACTGCTATGCAAAGGATAGTGAATGACAAAAACAGAGGTTTGGACCAAAAGAGGATCATGTGGGCCATACCCTCCCAGGCTTACCCACAACTGGGTGTTTTGAACACAACAAGAGAGATTCTTGGGGAAAGACCTCAAGTGACAAAAAAGGTTAATGAAATGAACAAACCTTGGAACTTACGGCTGATCAGTGTGGGCTTTAAGTATTAGTTTTTAAGAGAAGTGTATGTCCAAGTTTAGCTATTTTTGTTTATAAAGAATAGTATCTGTGCCAGGCACGGTGGCTCACGCCTGTAATCCCAGCACTTTGGAAGGCCGAGGCAGGCGGATCACGAGGTCAGGAGATCAAGACCATCCTGGCTAACACGGTGAAACCCCATCTCTACTACAAATACACAAAATTAGCCAGAAGTGGTGGCACACGCCTATAGTCCCAGCTTCTCGGGAGCCTGAGGCAGGAGAATCGCTTGAACCCAGGAGGCGGAGGTTGCAATGAGCTGAGATTGCGCCACTACACTCCAGCCTGGGCAACAGAGCGAGACTCTATCTCAAAAAAAAAAAAAAAAAAAAGAGAAAAGAATAGTACTGAAAACATATCCAGGAATGTTGTGTTTAAAAGTACTTTATCTTAGGCCAGGCGTGGTAGCTCACATCTGTAATCCCAGCACTTTGGGAGGCCGAGGTGAGTGGAACACTTGAGGTCAGGAGTTCCAGACCAGCTTGGCCAAATGGTGACACCCTGTCTCTAATAAAAATATAAAAATTAGCTGGACGTGGTGGTGCGCACCTGTAATCCCAGCTACTCGGGAGGCTGAGGCCTGAGAATCGCTTGAAGCTGGGAGGTGGAGGTTGCGGTAAGCTAAAATCATGCCACGGTACTCCAGCCTGGGGAACAGAGCAAGACTCTGTCTCAAAATAAAAAAAAAAAAAAAAAAAAAAAAAAAGAGTGCTTCATCTTAGAGAAATAGCAGAAATAAGACTAACTGGACAGAAATATTTAATTATAATTTGTTAACTAAAACATATATCTCATCTCTATGCTTCATTCTTTTGATTCTTCTAGAAGTTACTCCCAGTTGTTTTCCGGAGAAAGCTTGAGTTTCTTTTATTGTCAGAAGACCTCCAAGGTGACATTCCAGAGAACATCCTCGAGGTGAGAGAGAGCCCTGGTACCATCTGCCCAGGGTTGACAGTCACTTAAGCAGCTTAGCTTCCATGGACCCAGAAGAGAGAGGTCTCCAAGATGTTGCCCATACTTTGTTCTCAGGCAAGGCAACACAGAAGCTCCTTTGAGGAGAGTTTAGAGTTAGGGTAAACTTATATGATTTTAGAATTTTTGATGTGGTTGTCCAGAAGTACCAAGTATAACTGGGAATTAAAGATTTATTAGTAGATAGCAGGGAATATGAAGGGGACAAGGAACTAGTATTCGTTGACTATCTTTTCTATAACAGGGTCACTGAATGTGTTAGAGTTAATTCTCATAACAACCTTCTGGGGGTAGATTCAAATTAAGTCTTAATTATATCGTTATAGCATGTATCAGTTACTACTTTAGTGCCTGAGATATGCTCTGAGGCCCAATACTTATTTTTTTAATGACCCTGACACCAGTTAATTAAAGACATATTTACAGTAGGATTTAAGAGAGGGACTTTCACTTGTATTAGGTAAAGGACTCATGGTCTTGCAGTCCATCTCTGAGGCAGTTAATGAAGTGGCATCATCGAGTACCATCTATAGGCATGATGCTTAAGTATGGGAAATAACCTACTTCTCACCCCCTTCTCTCCCTGTACCCTCACCCTGCAAACAGAGGATAGGCTCTAGAGGTTCTTGCTTTTAGGTGACTGAGGAAGAAGGACTAAAACACACACTATTATGTATTAAATCATATGGTACTAATTTTAAGTACATTGAAGTTGTATGGGTTGGAGGTATTGGAGAAGGTTTTTGTAGTAGGATAAAGAATGGACTGAAAGCATGGCTGGGATTTAGATCAAGGGTTAAAAACTGACATTCTTTTAAAAATTGAATGTAAATGCCTTTAGATGGGCATAATGTCTTACCTGGTCTGTGAGTTGGCAGACCTTGATTCACATCACCAGTACACATTTTGGAGGCAGTGAGGTGGGACTAGCTGGAGCATGGAGGCCCTGGGCAATTGAGTTCATCTCTTCCAGCCTCCAACTCCTCATTTATAAAATAGGAGTAATAGTAGTGTCTTCCTCTGAAGACTATTGTAAGGATTAATTTGATTTTTCTGTGTAAAGGGCCTTAGAACAATGTCTAACACATAGTAACTACGACATAAGTATTTGTTACCGCCACTATTATATAAGTAAACTGAAAAAGAGGAAAGCATGAAGGCACACAAGTGATACCATTCCAGGCATGCCCACCACCCATCCTTTTCTTCATCCTCTATTTAGGAGCTGTATGAGACCTTAACACAGGGTGCAGTAGGCCACGTGCCTGACGGAAATCCAAGGAGGGAGAGCTGGACTCCTCGTCTCAGCTCCGAAGCTGTCTCTGTGCTCTGGGATCTCCTGAGGCAGTCTCCCCAGCCAGCACAGGCCCTGCTGGAGCTCCTGCTTGAGGAGGATGACGGTACTGGCCTCTGTCACTGGCCTCTGCAGAATGCACTGGTGGACCTCATTCGAAAGGCATTGCGGGCTTTGCAGGGCCCTGATTCGGTGCCCCCTGGGGTAGTCGATGCCATCTATGGAGCCCTGCGGACTCTGCGTTGCCCCGCAGAACCACTTGGGGTTGAGTTGCATCTCCTGTGTGAGGAACTACTAGAGGCCTGCAGGACCGAGGGGAGTCCCCTGCGGGAGGAGCGGCTGCTCAGCTGCCTGCTGCACAAGGCCAGCCGGGGCCTGCTGTCCCTGTATGGCCATACCTATGCAGAGAAGGTCACAGAAAAGCCACCGAGGGCTACAGCCTCGGGAAAAGGTGTGTTCCCTTTGCTGCTGCTCCTTTAGTTTCAGTAATTCCAGTATGCCCAGCCTTGCTGGAGGCTCTAGACTGCTGCCTTCCGTGTGGCTCAGGACATCTAATAGGGGAGGCTAAGCAAAAATGGGTGCGATGCTCTTTCGTAAAAGTACAGGCCTGGCATGGTGGCTCAGGCCTGTAATCCTAGTACTTTGGGAGGCCAAGGCAAGGAGGATCATGTGAGGCTAGGAGTTCAAGATAAGCCTCTGCAACATAGTGAGTTCCCATCTCTACAAAAAAAATTTAGAAATTAGCTAGGCGTGATGGCACACACCTGTGGTTCAAGCTACTTGAACCACAGGCAGGAAGGCTGAGGCAGGAAGATCACTGAGCCCAGGAGGTGGAGGCTGCAGTGAACCGTGTTTGCACCGCTGTATTCCAGCCTGCATGACAGAGTGAGACCCTATCTCAAAATAAATAAATAAATAAAAGTATAGGTTTTCTAGTGTAAGATAGAGGTGTTGGGAGGAAAAAAAATAAAGTAATAGCAATAGCAGGAAACAGCTTTTCTGAAGCTCCCAAGGGAAGTAAAGATTCTTTAAGATACCCTAAGATAAAGTATGGAAAACCCAGCCTAAGTTTTTAAAAGAGCAAACTCTCACATCACTTGGTTGTTCAAATGGGCTCTAGCTTAGAAAAGAAGAGTTCTTGGTTTCCTGATAACCGTCTTGTTTGATGTTCAGTCTCACCGGATCATCTAGATCCTGAGCGGGCAATGCTAGCCCTGTTCTCCAATCCCAACCCAGCCGAGGCTTGGAAAGTGGCCTATTTCTACTGCCTGAGCAACAACAAACACTTCCTCGAGCAGATTCTGGTAAGTCAAGCTTAATTGTTCATCACAGAGGTACCCAGGGATTCTCCCCAGACTTTTTCATTCCTCATTTCTCTCCCACTCATTTGGCCACCATAAAGCAGTCTAATTAGTGTTGAGTCATTTGGTTTTGTCCCTCCCACAGTCCCATGGGAAAGGAGACTCTGAGAATCAGTGCCATTCATACTTACAGTTGCAGTCATTTTACATCGGTCCTTTGGCAGAAACTAAAATGTTGTATATGTATGTGCTTTCTGGAGGATGCAAGAAAGAAAAGGCAGTGGCAACAATATGTTGCCTAGCTGACAGGAGAATTTAATTACTTTAACCTTTTCCTTCCAGATTGCAACTGGGCTTCAGTTTAATTCAGCAGATATTTATTAATCTCATCCTCTGTGCCATGTACTGTAATAGGAGCTGGAGTTACAACAGAAGTCAGTCTCTGCCTTCAGGGAGCTCACAGTCTAGTGTTTTCATAAACATTTATTTTACTCAATTCACCACTTCTATTTTTTTGTTTTTGAGACAGAGTTTCCCTCGTCACCCAGGCTGGAGTGGAGTGGCGCGATCTCGGCTCATTGCAACCTCTGCCTCCTGGGTTCAAGCGATTCTCCTGCCTCAGCCTCCCAAGTAGCTGGGATTACAGGCATGTGCCACCATGCCGGCTAATTTTCTATTTTTAGTAGAGATAGGGTTTCCCCATGTTGGCCAGGCTGGTCTCAAACTCCTGACCTCAAGTGATCCACCTGCTTTGGCCTCCCAAAGTGCTGGGATTACAGGCATGAGCCACTACGCCCAGCCAACCACTCCTGTTATTGTCAGAAATCTCCCTGCTGTACTAAAATACTTCTTTCTCTAAAGAGCAGTAAGCTAGAACCCATTCTGTCTCATCCACATAGCTGCCTATAACAGCTTTCTTTGACTTACAGGTAACAGCACTAACATTGTTGAAAGAAGAAGACTTCCCAAATCTTGGCTGCCTACTTGATAGAGAATTCAGGCCCCTCAGTTGCCTGCTTGTACTCCTGGGCTGGACACACTGCCAGAGCCTAGAGTCAGCCAAGAGGCTGCTCCAGACCCTGCACAGGACCCAGGTAACTCTCACTCAGCATCCCAGGCTGCTCTGGAAGTGAGAGACGTGGGGCTTCGGGCTTAGGCTGAATGCAGAGCCCTAAAATCAGTCATAATCTGTAACCCCAGGTGCCTGAGTCAGCATCTCTTTCTTCTCCCATATCAACATAGGGCCCAGGCTGTGATGAGCTCCTCAGGGATGCCTGTGATGGGTTGTGGGCTCACCTGGAGGTCCTGGAGTGGTGCATACAGCAGAGCAGGTATGGCCCTGTGCAGTCAGCGCCTGCCCACCACAGGGCACAGCTGACCCTGTGCTCCGCATGTGTGGCCATTTCAAGGCGTTTTCCACATAAATGTTTTGAGTTGGCAATGTTGACCAGCTACTAAAAATTGTTCCAACAATTAAACCAAGAAAGAAACACAAGTAATTATTACCTTCACCATGACAATCAGGTCATAACTGGAGGATAATTTTAGGATGACAGTAACAAAAAGAACAATAGCTCGCATTTCCAGTGCACTTACCATAAGCTAGGCATTGTTCTAAGCCCTTTACATGGATGATTTCAATTAAGCCTCACAATAATCCTATGGGTAGATACCAATATTATCTTCATTATAAAAGTCAGGCAACTGAAGCCCACAGGTATAAAATAACTTGTCCAAAGTCACACAGCTCACAATGTCATCCACATTCTTAGTCTTACGTTATCCTGGATCACACTTTTATTCAACAAATGCTTACTGAACTGTGCATGAGGCCCTGTGTTTCTCTGGTAACTTAGCCTGGACTTAGGTTTCTATCTTGTTCTTCACTCACTTCACCAGCACTTTCTGAAGTAGAGTAGGCAGAGGGGGAAGTAGCAAGGGGCTCTTACTCAAAGTACAGCCAGAGAAACTTGTGTTCATTTGAAGCTGGAGAGGGTGTAGAAATTAGAAAATTCAGTCTGTAGGACCTTTCTAGACCCTACTGATCTGAAAGGCCCTTTCTAGGACCTTTCTAGACAACTAGAGCTGGTTTGATAGATGTACTTCCCTGAGGGTAAATAAATGTTAGGCTCAGTCCCAAACCAACTAAAATTTAGATTGTAGGGAAGGGAAGCCTGTGGCATTATGGTCCAGAGAGGAAGAACAAGAGGGAATGGAGATTGATCTTTCTTCGAGCAATAATATAAACTGCCTCTCTTCCATCCTCCCAACTTTTCCATTCAGCAACCCCATACCAAAGAGAGATCTGTTGTATCATTTACACGGTGGAGACAGCCACTCAGTGCTCTACACTCTCCATCACCTTACAAACCTTCCAGCCCTCAGGGAGGAAGATGTTCTCAAGCTCTTACAGAAAGTGCCAGCCAAGGACCCCCAGCAAGAGCCTGGTGAGTTGGGATGGAATGACCTGGCCAGGATTTCCTCTTAGGACATTCTTACACATTTCTTCCAGCATGAGATTTATCCAGATGTGATTGCTGAGATCTTTCAAGAGGGTGGTGAGGAGGTCTCCTCTAAATGAGCACTGTTTGTCCTAATCAGTTTATGGGATATAGGGCATTCCTCCTCTTCCTTGGTGAGGTGTAGGGAATCCTGTGAGTATGATCCTGCATTCTTTGTCCTTGTGGAACCATCACAGGAACCACTACTACAGCCTCATTCCAGTGAAACAGAATTAGAAATTGCCCTCTGAATACACAGCATTGTTAGTCAGTGTTTATGCAAATTCTTAGTGAGTGGCTTCATGTTTTATAAGCTTTCTGATAGCATGTTTTGTGCCTTTTCTCCCATGTCCACTTCATACTCCATATAACAGATCAGGAGATTTAGAAGAAAGACTTGCCTGGGCTGGGCGCAGTGTCTCACGCCTGTAATCCCAGCACTTTGGGAGGCCGAGGCAGGTGGATTGCTTGAGGTCAGGAGTTCAAGACCAGCCTGGCCAACATGGTGAAACCCCGTCTCTACCAAAAATATAAAAAATTAGCCGGGTGTGGTGGTGCGCGCCTGTAATCCCAGCTACACGGGAGGCTGAGGCAGGAGAATCACTTGAACCCGGGAGGTGGAGGTTGCAGTCAGCCAAGATGGTGCCACTGTACTCCAGCCTGGGGGACAGAGGGAGACTCCATCTCAAAAAAAGAAGAAGACTTGTCTGAAACGGGAACAAAGCCTTTTTTTAACCTAAGATCTTTGCTTAAATTCAAGACCCCATTAAAAAGCTCTTTTTCTTTAAGTTTTATCTTATTTCCCTCCCCTCTCAGATGAATTCTCACCATGGTTTTTTGTTCATTTGTTTGTTTTTGAGAAGGAGTCTTGCTATGTTGCCCAGGCTAGTCTCAAACTCTTGGGATCAAGTGATCCTCCTGTCTCAGCCTCCCCAGTAGTTGGGACTACAGGCACTTATCACTATACCCCATATAGTTTTACCCTATTTTTAATTGACTAATAGTAATTGTATCTATTTTGGGAATACAAGTGATGTGTTGATGCATATATACATTGTGGAATGTATACATTTCTTTTTGTTCTTAAGAAACGTATCATTGTATAGTCACAATCTGCCCCACAGGACAGAGACACTTACTTTGAGAGACACAAACTTTCTTACATGGCATTTGAGGTTTCCCAGCCTGGATGTTGCTTTACTTTTCAAAAGGACCTACTACTAATTGGAGAACCAGTGTTATTACATTCCATGTTTTTTTTTTCTGGAAAGATAGGCAGCTTGTTTAACAGATTTCCTGTAGGAATACGAACTCTGCTCTTACATGCAAGTATACAGGCCTTCCAAAGAAATACAGTATTTTAAGTCTGATCCCTGGACCCACTGGGGCACACTTCAAAAAGGCAAAAAAGAGGCAATAATAAGGCTGCAACTAGGGTGAGGCAAGAGAGACATTTAAGGTGCAAAATTTAAGGAGGCACTCACTGTCAGGTGCAAGTCCTGGCCCTGGGCAATAATGCCATGTAGAAGTCATGAGATATGTAGAAGGGAGGTGAGTGGGGGAAAGGAAGTGCAGGGAACTGAAAGTTGATACTGACTTGAGGAAAAGCCCTAGAAGTGACACAGATCAGACCGACAGAAAGGAGAGAGGGTAAGAACCTACAAGTGGACCTCTAAGTATGGCACAGCATCTCTTTGCTTCACCCATACTTGCATCCTGAATTAATTAACTCTCAAGTTCAGCCTGTTTCTCTTTGTAATTCAGATGCAGTTGATGCTCCAGTCCCTGAGCACCTGAGCCAGTGTCAGAACCTGACACTCTACCAGGGCTTCTGTGCCATGAAGTATGCCATCTATGCCCTCTGTGTAAACTCACACCAGCACTCCCAGTGCCAGGACTGCAAAGACAGCCTCTCTGAGGACCTGGCCTCAGCTACAGAGCCAGCGAATGACTCTCTCTCCTCCCCAGGTACAGCACTTCCCTCCATCCGTGAGATAAGCTGATAACAACACATGCCAGTGGGTGCTTTGTGTGTTTACCCTCTTCCACCAAGATTGGGAGTGGGGTGATGGCCTTGGTTTTATTTCACCCAGGGATAGTTTCATCCATCTGTCAGCCTCTGAATCAAAGGGACATGGAAAAAGAAAGTGATTGCCTAAGTTTTAACAGAGTCTGATCACCTAGTATGGTGTTTTCCAAACGCTTTTTTAAAAACTATATTTCACGGTAGGAATAGCATTTTACATCCTACTCCAGTTTGCACCTAGGTATATAATTTGTGTGTTTACATATGTATGTGTATATATGTGATATATAAACTAAGTTTTAAAAACAATGCTTACTTCATAGAGCACACTCCTGATTATTTTTCTTTCCTATTTCATCTTTTTAAATGTAGTCTTCTAAGGCAATTTCATAGGTCACAGCCTACAGTGTGAAAAGTACCAACCTAATGGTCCTATCCTCTCTCATTTTTCTTAATAATTTAACTTGCCTTCTGTGACTGACTAGTGATCAGTTTTCCCTCTCTCCTAGCTTTGGAATAGATCTTTACCTCTTA
The DNA here is from genome assembly GCF_000001405.40 of Homo sapiens. Classification (NCBI taxonomy): domain Eukaryota; kingdom Metazoa; phylum Chordata; class Mammalia; order Primates; family Hominidae; genus Homo; species Homo sapiens. The sequence continues at coordinate 67,801,486 of NC_000014.9, read as the reverse complement.
GCATGGTCATTTTTGCCTATTAAGGATTTCTTAAGAGATCTAAGTAGGCGTGATCATCTTTAGTGTAAAAATAAGTGGAAATAGAATTGAGGAGTAAAGGGTCTGCATGTTACCTTCATTCCTGGAACTGAAATATAGAGTCCTTATCAGGGATGAGGAACAATGTAACATTTACAAAGCAGATACAAAATAATGAGTTTTAGTTTTCAGTAAGCTGTACTTTTTTTTTTTTCTTTGAGACAGAGTCTTGCTCTGTTGCCCAGGCTGGAGTGCAGTGGTTTGATCTCAGCTCACTGCAACCTCCGCCTCCTGGGTTCAAGCAATTCTCCTGCCTCAGCCACCTGAGTAGCTGGGATTATAGGCTCCCACCACCAAGCCTGGCTAATTTTTGTATTTTAGTAGAGATGGTGTTTCACCAGTTGGCCAGGCTGGTGTCGAACTCCTGACGTCAGGTGATGCACCCACTTCAGCCTCCCAAAGTGCTGGGATTATAGGCATGAGCCACTGCCCATGGCCAGCTGTACTTTTATTTATTTATTTATTTATTTATTTATTTATTTATACGGTAACTTTTTATTATACCAAGGTGTTCTAATGCCATTATATGAAGACAGATGCTTCAAACAACCTGCATTAAATTATATTTTTAATACAATTAAAAACTATTTTTAACCTATTTGTAGCCACAAACTGAAAATGTGTCGACTTTACCTTAGAGCTAAAGGCTTACTTTATGCATATGGTATATTTAATAGTCTACAAATCAAAGATTCAAACAGACCCTAAAAACATTCCATATATTCTCATACCAACTCATCTACATAGAAATGAAAATCTATGTATTGTTCTCACAAACCGTTACTATGAGTTCACTATAACAACTGGATCAATATGGCTTGTCTTTCAAAGTTAGACAGTCAGAAAGGGGCCTCTAAGAAGTCATTTAGCCCAATTCCCTCACCCTGTGTGTTTTCTCTCAAAGCCAGTGCAATTTTTTTTTTAACCAAAAAACTGGACATATTTAATACATACAGTTTGAAAAGTTTGGATTTCACTCTTTGTTTTGATGTAATATCTCTTTTATAAAAGGAAACAGATTCAGACAAGCTCAGTGGCCCAACTCAAGACATTCAGCAATTAGTGGCAGGACTATAACATACATCTCTTTATGCTAGGGAAACCAGGCTGTCTATTATAAAGCTGACCAGGGCTATTGTTTTCCCCTTTTCTCTCATCCTAAACACCATTCACATTTTTTCTAGGTCACATTTTACTGGGATCATTTACAAAGCCCCCAGAACTTAACTATCATGTTTTACTTTTTTTATTTAATCATATACAACTCTTACAAAAATGCTTAAAGTAATTTAATACCTGTACATCAGTACAAAACCTGGCTGAGTAAAATGAAGACAGGGTCTATTCAAGATCATTAAGACCAAATGTAAAATGGGAAGGATGTGGAAGATAGCTGTCCAGCAAGTGTTTGGAAGGTATTCTAGCTGGGTAGAGAGCCTATTCTAACAGACAACGCACATCACAGAAAACAACATGAACAGAACCACATCCTAGATAGAGTTCTGTGTACAGAAGATCCATGGAGGCAAGTGCTGTCAGGAAGGACACTGCCTCCCTCCGCCCTCCCAATTGTCACCACCAAGTTCCTTCAGGTGAGACCTCACACAATGTCAAGTGCTTTCTAGGAAATGCTAAGATCAGGTTGAGAGATTCTGCTTGGCCTAGTCAATCTGAAAAATTCAGGCTGGAAAGACACCTTTTCTCAAGAGTTGAGTTGACTTTTGCCTTCAAATCTTGCCAGCACCTTGCCTACCATGGCATCAATTTACACCTAAGGACCTTTGAAGAGAAAAATTCTATTATTTCTTTTATTTCTTGAGAGCAGATTTTTTCCCTCCTCCTTTGGAAGACTTGCAGTACTTTGCTTCCATCTGAGCCAGAAAACTGTCCATTTCCTTTTGCCGATCCTTTTGTCTGCTCTGAATGGCTGCCTTCAGGCTATCCACGCCTTCATCAAGCCCCAACTCCTTTCTGCTCGTTTCTGCTTCTTTGGCCTCTTCCTGAGCCCTCCTTTTCCTTGCATTCATCTTTTGTTTCGATTCTTTGACAAAGGCCTTATAGGATTGCACCGCTCTGGCGTCAATAGCTTGCTGAACAATATTCCTTATCCTGGGTTCCTCTGTGTACTGCACGCAAAGCACAGACTCCATGATCTGATCCATGTCACCCTTGAAGTCCAGATAGGCCTGTTTAATATCAGCCAGCTCTTCTTCTGAACCTTTGTATGTCTTTTCAAAAGCTTGAATGTCCTCTAAAGATATCTTTTTAAAGAGTAGCCGCCAGTACGCCTCCTAGTCTAGGTCTTGGGTGAGCACTGGAGAGTCCTCGTCCACTGTTCCCTGCTCATCGTACACTGCTCTCTGTTCTTTGTCACTGGGAACGGAATAGACTTTTCCCAGGATCTGAGGGCAGAGAGTATCCGTAAATCACCCCCGCCCCTCCCACCGAAACCGCGGCGCGAGAAATAAAGATCAGAGGCGCCAAGCGGAGCTCAGCGCCCTCCCCGGGGGCGGGGCCTGGTGGCCAAAAGGCTGGGGAGGCCCGGTTGGCCTCGGGGCGGGACCCGGCCAGCTGTACTTTTAAAATGGCAAAATCTTTCTGCAAATCATTAAAAGACATCCTAAGTCTCTTATTCTTCTCACTGTAACCTCAGTTCCCTTATAATTAAAAAATAAATAAATGAGCTAAAGTTGCGAGAATGTTTGACGCTGGGAGGTAATGTTTCTAATGTTTGCATTCTCTGTCTTCTCTTTCTCTGGCCTCTTCTCTTGTACATGTTTTTGTAGGTGCTGCAAATCTCTTCTCAACTTACCTGGCCAGGTGTCAACAGTATCTGTGCAGTATTCCTGACTCTCTGTGCCTGGAGCTTCTGGAAAACATCTTCTCATTGCTTCTCATCACCTCTGCTGATCTTCACCCAGAGCCTCACTTGCCTGAGGACTATGCTGAGGATGATGACATTGAGGGGAAGAGCCCCTCAGGTTTGAGGTCCCCATCAGAGAGCCCTCAGCACATAGCACATCCTGAAAGGAAGTCAGAACGGGGTTCCCTGGGAGTCCCAAAGACCCTTGCTTATACAATGCCAAGCCATGTGAAGGCAGAGCCAAAAGACAGTTACCCAGGGCCTCATAGGCACAGCTTTTTGGACTTAAAACACTTTACTAGTGGTATCAGTGGATTTCTGGCTGATGAATTTGCAATAGGGGCCTTCCTCAGGCTTCTCCAAGAGCAACTGGATGAGATCAGTAGCCGCAGCCCTCCTGAGAAGCCAAAGCAAGAAAGTCAGAGCTGCTCAGGAAGCAGAGATGGACTGCAGAGCCGCCTGCATCGACTTTCCAAGGTTGTCTCTGAGGCCCAGTGGAGACACAAGGTGGTGACAAGCAACCATCGTTCAGGTGAGAGAAGGGTGGAACTGGTGGGACCAGAAGGTGGAGAGGGAGAAAGATCCCAGGAATATGGGAGAGAGCTAGGAGTACATAGGAGTCACCCCATAACTCAGGGCATATCGTCACCATGGCAACCAGTGTCAGAACACTGGGGTATGCTCCATGTCTCAGAGCCCAGTGCAAACCTTCCCCAACCTGTTATGCCAAGAAAGGGCCAAATCAAAGTTGATCACTCTCCTTTCTGTCCCATTGGGTTTGCTCTTTCAGAGGAGCAACCTTCCCGAAGATACCAGCCTGCCACACGTCACCCCAGTCTCCGCCGGGGTCGTCGGACAAGAAGGAGCCAGGCAGGTAATCTGAAGAGCTCATTCCCATGCACTAGGCAAGTGGTGTAATGCTGCTTGTCTAATACTCTTTAAGAAACAGCACATGGTCAAAAACAACAAAAGCGTTGTAAAATTATCCTATTCCCACTCCCTCAAGGTAACCCTTGTTAATAGTTTCCTATGTATCCTTTCAGAAATTTTCCATGCAATATAAACATGTATATCCTTTTATATATATACACATGCATTATACTATATATTGAGAACTGCAGCTTGCTTTTTTCATTTATATCCTTTTATATATACAGATGTATTATACTATAAATTGAGAACTTTTTTCACTTACCATTTTAAATACTGCTTAGTATTCCATTGTCAGAAACACCCTGTTCATGGACATTTAAGTTTCCAGTTGTTTACCATTATAAACAGTGCTGTAGTAAAAAACCTTGTACATGTCTGTGCATACTTGTGTAAATACAGGATAAGCTCCTAGCAGCAGAATTACTAGGTCAGATCTATATGGGTATCATATATAGATATTACCCAGTTGCCTTAAAAATAAGGTAGACCAATATGGATTTCTTTTTTTCTATAGGGATTAATATTAAGTATTCATTGTATGCCAGATGCTGCTCTACATTCCTTATATTTATAATTGTTAACTTATTTAATCCTCACAATACTATGAAGTAGGTCTTATTATTTTTCCCGTTTTATTTTTATTTCCTTTTTTCTTCTTTTTGAGATGGAGTCTCACTCTGTTGCCCAGGCTGGAGTGCAGTGGTGCAATCTCAGCTCAATGCAACCTCTGCCTCCTGGGTTCAAGCAATTCTTGTGCCTCAGCCTCCTGAGTAGCTGGGATTACAGGTGCGTGCTACCATGCCCGGCTAATGTTTGTATTTTTAGTAGAGACGGGGTTTTGCCATGTTGGCCAGGCTGATCTTGAACTCCTGACCTGAAGTGATCTGCCTGCCTCAGCTTCCCAAAGTGCTGGAATTACAGGCGTGAGTCACCGGGCCCGGCCTCCCTTTTATTTTTAGTTGGCATATAATAATTGTACATATTTAAGGGATACACAGTGATATTTCAATATGTTTATAAAATGTGTAATGACCAAATTGGAGTAATATCTATCACCTCAAACATTTGTCATTTCTTTGTGTTGTGAACATTCAAAATCCTTTCTTCGGCCTGGCACGGTGGCTCACACCTGTAATCCCAGCATTCTGGGAGGCTGAGGCAGATGGATCACTTGAGGTAAGGAGTTCAAGACCAGCCTGGCTAACATAGTAAAACCCTGTCTCTACTAAAAATATGAAAGTTAGCTCGGTGTAGTGGTGGGTGCCCAGCTCGGGAGCCTGAGGCACGAGAATCACTTGAACCTGGGAGGCAGAGGTTGGGGTGAGCTGAGATTGTGCCACTGGACTCTAGCCTGGGTGACAGAGTGAGAATCCATCTCAAAAAAAAAAAAAATCCTTTCTTCTAGCTTTTTGAGAATATATAATAGATTATAGTTAACCATATTCATCCTGCAGTGCTACAGAACAGCAGAACTGATCCCTCCATCCAGCTCTGATTTTATATTCATTAATCACCCTCTCCCCATCCTTCTCTCCCTCCTATTATTTATAGTTCTGCAAGCTGTATGTGATTGCCTGTTTGCACATACTCTCATCAGTCAATAGTATTAGATTTTTTAAAACCTTCACCAATATATTTAATAGTGATGTTTCATTGCTTCAGTAGTATTTTTTTTAGTTTGAGATTGAATATCTTTTCACATATTTATTGACTGTTTATATTTTTCTGTAAACTGCCTAATGTCTAAGGTCCATTTTTCTCTTAGGAATCTCTTTTATCTTCAATTTTAGAAAGCTCTTTATACATTACAGAAAATATTTTCTCATCATGTGCTATTATTTTTTTCTCTATTTTGCCTTTTGATTCCACTTATAGGCTTTTCTTAGAGAAGTTAATATAGGCGCATTATGCAGGAGTATTAAATTTTTAGAGAATCAAGTTTTCATTATGGCTTTTGGTGTTGATCTTTTAAAAATTAAAAGGAATTCATGAGGATTTCCCATGGGCTAAACAATACTAGGTATCTTGAGGGAGGTAAATGAGGCACAAGCTAGGCTTTTGACTTCGAACAATTTGTAATGTACCTGCTTAGATAGTATACATGGAAAGTTTAAAGTGACCTGCGACCCTGCCTGAAAACAGAAGAAATGTCTTAAAAGAGGATATCAGCATGACCTGCAGATGTCAGGGCAACAGATTTCATGAAGGAGTTGACTCTTGAACCAAGCTCCAGAGAATGAGTAGGCTCTAGCTAAGTGGCAACATGAAAGGTGAGCATACTGGGTGGGGCGGAGGATGCCGTGAGAGAAAGCTTCAAGGTTGCGTTGCTAAGTCCCTTAAGCTGCTACATTAATTGTTTTGGGTCAGAAGGCAGAGTTTGCATCCACTTGACCCATTCAGCACAAGAATGCACAACCCATCATCTCTTCTACGGCTGTTCCTTCTAAAGGGCTTCCAAACAGTGAACTGAGGTGCCTCCCTTGCATGAGGCTGAGACAGCCCCTCGAATGACCAGGCTAAGGAATAGCGAGCCTCTGTTAGAAAGCTCTAACATGTTAGGAAGCCTGGTGTTGAGAAGAGAGAAGCTTTTTCTCTGAGACTTTGAATATCATGGTCTTTGGCCAGCCAGGTCTTAGACTTTGGTTCCCTACATTTTTTTTAATACAGATAGGGTCTTGCTCTGTCACCCAGGCTGAAGTGCAGTGGCACAATCATAGCTCACTGTAACCTTGAACTCCTGGGCTCAAACAATCCTTCCTGCCGCAACCTCCTGGGTAGCTGGGACTACAGGTGCATGCCACCTTGCCCAACTAATTTGTTTTTAATTTTTTGTGTAGACGGGGTCTTGCAGTGTTGCCCAGGCTGGTCTCAAACTCCTGGCCTCAAGCTATCCTGCTACAACGGCCTCCCAACGTGCTGGGATTACAGGTGTAAGCCACTGCACCCAGCCAGTTGTCTGCCTTTTCAAGTATGAAGATACCTTTTTCTATGTCAGGAAATACTGTGTCCCTACCACTCCCTGGTCATAACAGTTGTGCTTTTATTTTTTCAGAATACTGCCAGTGCTTACTGAGCAGGTGCTGATCACTGACCCCTAAAAATAACTTGAAAGTTCTTGGGGCTCTGAGACCCACAGGTTGGGAACCACTGGTATAGGCTATTACCCAGGTGAACTCTGTTGCCATATTCAGCCCACCCTTTGCCTTTGGTCTATAGGAGCTTGTGTTTTGCTGTAGAAGGAGCAGCAGGTGTCATAGTTATTCATTATCCTCTGTCTCTAACTACACAGATCTTGGCTGTCAAGCCAACTTCACACTTCCTACTCTATAAGGAGCTGATAATTGACTTTCTCTCTTCTTCCCAATACCTGTAGATGGCCGAGACAGAGGTTCAAACCCATCCCTGGAAAGTACAAGTAGTGAGCTGAGCACAAGTACGTCAGGTATGCAGATTTCCACCAGTTGCCAACTTTGAGCAGCTTTGCCCTGATATAGAGTTGCCATACACCATGGTGTAAAGCCAGGATTGAGCAGTCAAGGTTGTTATTCAAGGTTGGCAGATGGCCAGATTTTAGCTGGGAGAAGGGAAAGGACTGTTTCATTCTCAATTTAGTTATCCAGCAACAGAGAGAAATAGAGGTAAATACCCAAAGAAGGTAGTTGGCACTTAGCATCTTCTATTCAAAGATGGTAGCATAGGTTTGCCCTTCATTTGAGGAAAAATTAAGACCTATTTACAGGCCTTTTACAGAAGGACATTGAGGAGATAAAAGTTTGGTGGGAGGTGGCAGCAATATAGCATTTCCTTAATTCCTCTTGCTTCTCTGGCCCCACACATTCTTGTGTCCCAACAGAGGGAAGTCTGAGTGCCATGTCTGGCCGGAATGAGCTGCACAGTAGATTGCACCCCCATCCTCAAAGTTCACTCATCCCCATGATGTTCTCCCCACCTGAGTCACTGCTGGCATCCTGCATCCTTCGCGGGAACTTCGCAGAAGCCCATCAGGTGAGGGGAGGCCATACCTTTTCAGCCCCTGAATGACTTAGCATCAGGTAAGGCTCGGAGCATGTACAACCAGAGC